>NC_000004.12:115739562-115891077 GCF_000001405.40 Homo sapiens | reverse complement strand
TTCCTTTAGGCCATGTATTTTTGTCCATTTCTTTGTTTTTGAACCCAGATATCTTTTAGATGTAAAGGATTCTTTACTGCCACAGCAACTTCTTATGTCATCATATCTTGTGTCATCAAATGAGAATCAGCAAATGGATTCTTTTTCTTTTAGTTAGTGAGTTTTTCTTACCAGAACTTTGTATAATTAGAGTCAAAGTAGAATTATGTTAATCATCTTATTGAGTATTCTCTATATAATTTCCTTTTTTTCTGATGTTTCCTGCCCTCCATTCGATACACTGAATTGGTTTCAATTATTTTAAAATAACATATATCAGTTTTTATTCCCCTTGTGATTACCTACAGATTTTTAATATCTATGTAGTTGTTTCCTGCCAATTTAACAAATGTATTAATAACTTTATCTTTCCTAAAATAAACAATTTCCATCTTTCTTCAAGCTCTGTACCTTTGCATATGTGAATAGTTTAGAAAGAATTTTATATATTTTAAAATGTGTAGTTATCCCTGGATTGATTCTGTTTTTAAGACAATATATTGGTGAGAAGAAATTTCTCCTGGAAAATGGAGGCTAAGAATGTATTTTACTTTATCATTTTTAGTGCCATTTAAAATTTTACATCATAAAGGTTTCTTATCAATTTATGCATTATAAAATTTAAAAAAGTTGGTGTATGAAATGACTAAAATATATAAGAACTTGTGATCCAATTATATTTATTTTCTCTCTTTAACTGTGGAGACTTCATTTTTCCATTGTAGGTATAATTTTATGGCTTTTTGCTAAAGTTTTAATGTAAAGAATTCTATCTTAGTGTAGCTGGATTCGAATTAATACTTTTGTTTTTATTAGCAAATGTACTTATTTCCATTTTCTGCTTAATTTTATTTTTATTGAAGCCACACTTTTGTCTGTTTCTTGGTGTAAATCTTACAATTAACAATTTGCTTTCATGCAATCAATTTTTAGTTAGTGATCACTAAAAGTTATTATTTTTAATATTTTTGTTAAGGTTAAAATAATTTAAGAACATAAGAAAATAATATTTGATATTAGCTAGGATTTTGTTAAGGCATAGTAAACTTTCTGAAAAGAAAGACTAAACTTTCCAATACCAAGTTGTATGAATTTAATAAACAGATAAAATCTATTCTCCCTAAGGCTTTGTCTCAACATCTACTTCCATGTTGATTCACATTACAACAGAAGCAAAAACTCTGTAGAGCTGCACCTAGCTCTACACACTAAAAACTGTCGTGTCGATTTTTCACCTCAGAGATTTAACTCCAAGTATCTCAACATTTTTCCCCAGTAGAACTAATGAATTCATTTAGCTAATGATGTAATTTAATCTTATATATGCTAACAAAACTAATTATTAAGCTATAAAACCAAATTAGGTTACTGATAATCATTTCCCAGACATTTTTTTTTCTTTAAGGGAAGCCTTAGAATAAATCGCAACATTATTGTGATTTAATTCACCATTTATAACTTTGCTAGTATTCAGGAGACTTCTACAATAAATAAAAGGATGGGTTATGAATTTCATATTATGGCTGTAAATTCTCACTATAGGCTACAATTCACTGTTGTTCAGGCTGAATACTAGAAAGGTTTTCATGTGATAAATTTATCAATGTCTAAACTCCCTGATGAAATATGGCCTTATTTTGCCCTTAAAAAGGTGGATCAATCAATGTTATTGAGGGCTTTTCATCACTGAAAGGTTTTTCATTAACAGTTAAGACTTTGATAAAGTTTCAAAGTGATTTAGTCTTCTCAGATTATTCTTGTAATCAGAATTTCTTTGTCTACTAAGTTTTAGAAATAAGAACTTGCATTTATATGTGGTATTTGGTGTATTATTTTAATCATAAATCCTTTCTAATTTAAATTTAGTAACAATAAAGGATCATTAAAATAAATGCAAAGAATAATTATTGATAGCATATGACATATATCCTAATTATTTGTGAGTATGTTTAATCAATGCTAACATATAAATTTTAATAGTACCATGTGCAAAACAAGCTTACTGCCTAAATAATTCTAACCTTATTGAGAAAACTTTTGTAAGTATATTGAAGAGCGTTTGCCAAAGACTCTAAAATACACATCTGTGTGAAGTAGCAGGACTAATTTACATGAAAACTACATATTAAGAAAGTAGGCATTTATATGCTTAATATTTTTGAGGTTTATCATAGACTTGCTGATATTGTTGCTATTTTCAAAGTGCTAGTAAGAAGGATTTTTATGTGAACCTAATGACTTTTCTTGTGATCATTTTATAGGATAAAGTCTTTGGGAAAAACAAAAATTGTAGAACCATCTGTTAGTGCCCCGTTGATGCCTATTGCCTTTACATAATAGAAAATGTAAGTAATTATATCATATTCTTGGAAATATCAACCAGAATTTACTTTTTTAGCATTATATCTTTTTCTACTATGTTTTATTATTTTCAGGGTTTTTTCAATGCTAAAAATAATTTTGGGGTAAGTTGATTAGTTCCTGAATGTTGTATTATTTTAAAAGACCACTAATGTCTCATAGTCACTTCAATAATTTGTAACCATGTAGCACATAAGAATGTTTTGATCAATGACAGCACACCTACAATGGTGGTCATGTAGATTATAATACCATATTTTTACTGGACCTTTTTATGTTTAGATATAAAAACACTGACCTCTGTGTTACAGTTACCTACTATATCGTAGTATTCACTACAATAACATGCTATACAGATTTTGTAGCCTACGAGCAATAGGCTATACCATGTAGCCTAGGTGTATTGTTGGCTATACCATCTAGGTTTGTGTAAGTACAATCTATATTGTGCACACAATGGTGAAGTTTTCTAACAACACATTTCTCAGAACATATCTCTATCATAAAGTGATGCATGACTGTGTAATAGAGTTGAAAAGTTTTTTTCCCAAGTGATGTAGCTTTCATTATGCCTTAGAGCAACATAGAGTAATTCCTATAAAAATGTATCAATCCAACCATCAATTATTACTTCATAAAATGTCATGGTAACTAGCCTGTGCTATAAGTATTATTATTCAGAAATAATTCAAACCTATTTATATATATATACTTCAAGAATTAAGTATGAGAAAAATGTCAACTTAAGAAACCTAAACTAATTTTTGATAAAATATCTTAAAATTTTTTCTTTAATTCTAATTTATGAATATACCTGTTGTATATTTTTAAATATCATTTTTTGGGTAGAAACAAATGTAAAAGCTGAACTCTTTTGCTCCTTCCATATTAATTGTGGTTTATATCTTTTCATAGTCATAATGAGATCACACATATGATCCATACATTATAGATATATGTACATATATCCATAATTAGACATATATTAAATGGCAGTTTAAATTGTTTATTTTTCTAAATCATTTATTCTCTCTTCCTAGATTATAAAATTTACTTTGAATTTTTTCTATATCTGTAATAATATAAATATAATATTTGATAATTTATGTAAAATAGAAATGGTGACTTAATATAGGCACCATCTGGAATCACATGGGTGAAAATATATGAATGTGTTGACAGTAACATGATGGCTACACTAGCCCAAATGTGAGAAAATGTAGGAATTGCAAACATTCACTGAAGAGTATGTGATAATTTTTCAAATTATTTCCTTCTCTTCTCCATATTTCTTTTTCTTTTTCTTTCTTTCTTTTTTTTTTTTGAAACAGAGTTTCATTCTTATTGGCCAGGCTGAAGTGCAATGGAATGATCCCGGCTCACCGCTACCTCTACCTCCTGAGTTCAAGCGATTCTCTTGCTTCAGCCTCCCGAGTAGCAGGGATTACAGGCACCAGACACCACGCCTGGCTAATTTTGTATTTTTAGTAGAGACAGGCTTTCTCCATGTTGGTCAGGCTGGCCTCGAACTCCCGACCTCAGGTGATGCACTTGCCTTGGCCTTCCAAAGTGCTGGGATTATAGGCGTGAGCCACCACGCCTGGCTTCCTAATTTCTTTATGGTATTATGCCTGAATTGATGATGCTGCCAGGTTCTCCAGTGGCCAGTATTATGTTCCTCACTCTTTGATTTGAGCTGCCGGTGTGAACAAAATATCTGATTCTCCTCTCGTTGACTATGTCTCAGCTAATGCTAGGCATCTTTCCACATTCTATACAAAAGCATTCTCTATCATCAAGTATGCTATTTTTCCCCCTGGGCAAGTGAAGCACAAAAGTACAGAAAAGTAAATCCTGCCCCTCCCACTGTATTTCTCAAAATTGGAGAACTTGAGATAGATAAAACATGAGCCAGCTTTCCATCTGTAAGTGGAAAAATTCTAAGGAACTCCTGATGAAATTCTTAGAGGTCCAATCATTGAGCCCCTGTCACCTATAGCACCAGCCTTGATTATGTACCATTATGTGGGCTATTTCCTCTTATCTGTATCAGTTTTCTGCCTCACTCGATATTGTTTCTTTAAAATTGTTTAAATTTATGTCAATAGAATTATTGATACAAAATTAAGTATGTAATACTTAATTTTGTATTTAAGTAATATTACCTAAATGCATTTAAATATCATTTTTTATTTGTATTATATACAAATATTTTGTATTTAAGTAATAATGCTTAAATACAAAATATTAAGTACATAAAAGTTATCTAAAATTCTGCTTTTAAGGAATACAGCATAAGATAATTGCTGTCTGAAATGGTCACTGAAAGCAGACCCACTGAAATAGAATCTGGAACTTGATAACGCAAAGATCAAACTGAGAGAGGAGGCAGGTGGTGGGTGGTTAGGCAGATAGAGAGGGAGGGTCTTGGAAGACAGACAATACCTGCGGGACCCCACCTGCACCATCCCTGTTATGTAGCTGGCAGGAGGAAATGTGGTTAAGAGCTTCCTCTTACACAATACCAAGATACTTTCTCAGAATGGATTTTCCAGCCACCCCACAGGTACAGACAAGGACCAAGCGCATTGTAAAATGACCCTGAACTCATCATGACGCAATTAGCATTGTGTTTTTAACCCCACGGGTTTTGCTTAAGCACTCATGGGTAATATCCAAGATGGAGGCACTATGGCCAACCCCAGGAATGCCCAGATGCAACACCCCCAGGGGGTGAACTTTACCCCTCCCATTAGGGCAAACCCACAGAAGACTTCCATGTTTCTGCCACATAAAAGACCCAGAACTCAGGCCCATTTTTGGCAACCCTCTTTGGGTCCCCTCTTGCTGCTGAGAACTTTTCTGTCATGTAATAAACCCTACTCTGCCTTACTCTCCAGTGTTTGCATGCCTAATTCTTGGTCATGGGACAAGAACTTGGACCTCGCTAAACTAAGGAGTAAGGAGATTGCAACAAAACCACTATTAGGACTTTATTGCTGGTGGAAAGTAAAAAGGTAAAACATTGGCATGCTTCTACGTAACACTTACTAAGTCTCTAAACAGTGATGGATTGGCAAGAGGTAGAAGTAAAAGAGGAAACAATGGATAATGTAATATCCCTAATATTTGAATCTAATAGGCATAAATGTAGTTATATAATTGATGAGTAAGTGGGGTTTTATTAACTACATTGAAAGACTTAAGAAATAATAGACTCAGTTCTGAAAATCTAAACTCAGTTTATGCTGTGAAATCAAAAGTGCCCTGTGAAAGAAAACATTTAGAGATCCTTATCTTCTAAAGCTACAAGGGAGACTATTATAAAAATCAGACCCATCATTTAATCATAAGTATAAAGTTGCACAGGAGTTCAAATATGCGGAACTTATAAAGTCTAAAGCCACAAACCTTTACATGTTAAAGTCAAGGTTCAGATAGAAAAGGAATGTGATCATGGAAAAATGTAACTAAGAAATAACATGCACCAGCTTCTGAATCCTCAAAATCTGCAAGACAGTTCTCTTCCTCTTGTCTCAGGAAGCTTTATTTCTGGAGTAACTTCATTATTTACATAATCTGGAATAATTATATTAATTTTATGTGCTTCTTAGTGTCACATAATTATTTTAAGTAGCTGGATTTTTGAATTTTTAGCAGAGATGGGGTTTCACCATGTTGGCCAGGCTGGTCTCGAACTCCTGTCCTCAAGAGGTCCACCCACCTCAACCTCCGAAAGTGCTGGGATTATATGAATAAGTCACCGTGCCTAGCATATTTTGTATTCTTTACTGCAGCTGCTTCTCAGTCAAAACTCTTATTTTTACTCAGTAAACAATCTTGATAATTAAGTATTTATTTGTCTTAGATCTGGTATACTTTTATACTTTTTTGATATATTATGTAATAAAATTAAACTAATAACTGTATTGAGATGGTGAAAAACTGCATTATTGAAACTGAAATGATGAACGCAGACCTACAATTAAAATTTTCCTCTCAGCATTATTATTGCATCTTGGTTTACATTTTCCTTTTTCTGATTATTGATAAAATTATGTACTTTTATTGGATTTTTGCATATATCATTAAAAAATATCTGATGAAGACTTTGCACTATTTTCCCACTGTGTTGTTGCTCTTTCTCTTATTGATTTATTTTGGTTATTTATATATTCTACATGGAATTTCTTATCAGATATAGGTACCATATTGACTTTCTTCCACTCTGTGGCTTGCGAAATCAGTCTTTTAGTGGTCATTTTTGGTGATATAAGTTCTTCATTTTCATGTAGCTCAATTTACCAAATGTTTCCTTTATGGTTAGTATACTTAATGTTTTGTTTAATGTATTTCTTACCCCTCAAAATTAATAAAGATATTGACCTATGTTTATTTCTAAAAACTTTATGTTTTTACCTTTCATATTTGAGTCATCTATTTAGAATTGATGCCATATCTGTGGTAGAGGTCAGGGTGAAATTTTTTCCCTAATGTATATACATTTGAACTAGAATCACATCTTTTAAGGAAACCATTATTTTATCGCTTTGTTACTGCCTGAGGGGAAGAAAGCCTCAACTTCCTGGCTCCCTGCTGAACTTTCTGTGGCAGCTCCCAAGCAGCATGTGGGATACCTTCTCACAGTTTGAAGGTGGAAGTCTTGGCTTTCATACCAGCTTTTGCTGGCATGGGGGAGTGTGGGGCCAGAATTTGTTTTTATGTAGTGTTTAGCATTTACTGTCTAACAGTGTTCTGCCTTGGTGGTTTTCCATGTTCCTGTCTTGGTTAGAGAGGGCAGACTTTTGTTGGGGCATTTTTGTCTGCCCTGTTTTCATTTCTGCTTTGCAGGACTCTTCTGCTCTAAGTCTGGGGTAGATGAGGCCAAAAGCAAACCCGAAGAATTCACTACTGCATTAATTCTTAGGCTCCGAGGTCCTTTGCTGGTTAGCCTTCTGTCCACCTTTTCAAAATCTTTATAAATTTGTTTTAATATGTAATTCCAGGGCTTTTAGAAGCCCATAGCTGGAATAATTGAGAAAAGGATGTCTACTTTACCTTCCTGGAAGCAGAAGTCTGACATCTTTTCAGAATACTAATGCCTAGCTTTGCACATCTTTAAGAGAAAGATTAATCAGAGTAATAAGTCTGCCACATCTCCCCTGTGCTTCCATATCACTGAGATCTAGGCCATCAATGTCTACTTTGGCAAGTCTGATTTTATTTTCCTGCTTAGGGCCATATTATTGCTGAGAGCTCATTTGAATTATTTGCTTCCTATTGGCAGCTCTCCACCTGACTTCACAGCCTCTTTTCTCTGCAGCTTAAAAATTGACACGTGGAGCCAAAACAAAACTGGCATGTATATTTAAACATGCATTTGTTTTCTAATGGATTTTGGTTCCATTAAATTATAGCTTCCTCAAAAGTTCTCCAATGCTTCAAAGAAGTTATTTTGTTTTAGTTATATTATTGCCAGCAATTTCACTCATTATTTGCAAGAGCATTGGTTTTCTACCAACTAGTCCATTACAGTAAAAGTGGAATAATGTCACTTACTTTTTAAAGAAAAAGATTAAGGAAGATAATTGCAAAAAATTACAATGTAAATTTCAAAATAAGTATATTTCATACATAAAAATAAGAATATACGAAATATTAGATTTCATGTATAAAAATAATTAAGAAAATTCAGATACTTTTCTTTGAAATTCTGACCAATTTAAAAATTAAAACAAAATTATATAAAAAACTAAGATATATTGGGAATACCATAGATTTTATATTGATGCAAACAATGAAGATTAAAAAATATATGTATTTGAAACTACTGTGAAAAACTATTCATGTAATAAACTTAAAAATCGAGATAAACACTCACTATCTAATTTTGTACTTGTTATAGATGAGTAATGTTTTAAATAAATTATAATTGTTGCCAAAGTAAACACTAATTGAGTTCACATCAAAATAAAGATTTCTAGCTTCTTGTAAAAATATGGAAAATTCAACAAAACTAGTATAGCATTCTTCCATGGAGCTGAGTAGTTGCTACACACCTTGAACAGGACAGGTAGTCACCAGTTTGTTCCAATACTACCTTTTTCCATTTGTCCTTAATACTGTAGGTCAAGTGAAAATGCAGAAATTATTTTTCTTGCATTATATCTTTCATATGTAAGAGTAGAGTGAAAGAGAAAAGAGAAAAATTGATCAGATTTATGTCTTCATAAACATCTGATAATGAGAATTTTGAAGAAAAGTTTGTGTGTTGTGAGAAAAATGGGCAACAGTGTGGGAGATTGAAATAGTTAAAAATCCAGGACTTGACAAAGCCAGGACATTTTACTAAGTTATATGATCAGCCTATTGTATTTCCTGTAGGCCCAACCTGGTCTTAAGAAAAAAAAAAAGAAAAGAAAAAAAAAAAGAAAGATATTTTCCTGAAAAACTAAATCAAAACTGGTTAATAAAACTTTAATAAACCAATTATCTTTAGTTTATTATGTTTATGAAATGTTAAAGCGTCAGATATTCCAAAGGAAAAAAAGACGTGAGATTCAGACATCTTTAATGGTTTATCTCTACACAAATTTTAAGAACATAAAATTTCCATCTATCTAAAGCGTGCTGGAATCACTTTGAATACATTCAGAGACTGAAGGATGACAGAGGTTGAATAGCCAATTAGAAAAAGTTACGTTTTTTTGGGTGGTCAGGGGAGGGCAGGGCATTGTTTACTCCAGATAGTAAAATTGGGGTTAGGGAGATTTTTAAGTATTATTTGCTCACTGGTCTCTTGTTTAAATTTGTTAACAGTTATAAAATTTCTTTTTGTAATTAAGAAAATTTAAAACAATAAAGACAATGTTAAAAATTTTGCTAATGTATATTTTTATTTATTATTATTATTATTTTTGAGACGGAGTCTCACCCTGTCACCCATGCTGGAGTGCAGTGAAAAGATCTCGGCTCACTGCAACCTCCGCCTCCTGGGTTCAAGTAATTCTCCTGCCTCAGCCTCCCGAGTAGCTGGGATTACAGGCATGTGCCACCATAACCGACTAATTTTTGTATTTTTAGTAGAGATAGGGTTTCACCATGTTGGTCAGGCTGGTCTCAAACTTCAAGTGACCTCAAGTGATCTGCCTGCCTCGGCCTCCCAAAGTCCTGGGATTACAGGCTTGAGCCACCGTGCCCGGCCTATTTTTTTTTTATTTTTAACTTTTGTGGGTACATACTAGATGTATATATTTATCTGGTATATGTGATATTTTGATACAGGCATGCAATGTAAAATAATCACATTAGGGTAAATGGGGTATTCCTCACCTCAAGCATTTACCTTTTGTTTTATGATAAATATTTATAAACAAGTGTATATAATTAATTTAAAGGAACTATCATTCCCTAATAAATAATGTCATATTTCTGTAAGTATGTGACTTTTAATCTCAGCCAAATGATTGCATTTTAATATGACTATTTAATTAAGAGGTGCATGATCTTGAGTTTAATATTTGTATTCTCATTTCTAACATTAATGGCCCACCATAAGTTCTACATAGATTAATATATAAAGAAAATACTTAATTCTTGTATTTACACTCAACATTTTTAAAGTGGTATTGCAGTCATCTATAAAAGAGAAAAAAAATTCTTTAAACTTTCAATTTTTACATTACAGGTATTATAATTTTATATGCTCATTACTCATTGGGATGCTACTAATAATTAAATCACATAACAGATGTATAAATGCATTACTATATGACGGCAGAAGACTGATTAAAATGCAGGTACTAACTGGCAAATATGTGTGCATTATTTATGAGTCCTCTAGGCACTCAACAAGAGGAAACATTTCTCCCTTTATGTGGCAATCTCAAAGGAACTATCAGTAATTAAAATAAAAATGTAATAATGTATAACCACTGTTGAGTCTCTGAGTCAATTTGTCACCTCCATACAGCTTTGATGGCTTTTGTTGGAATTTCTATTAATTCATTTGTTTCCTGGAACATGACTCTATAGTTTTACTAACACAGACTTCTAAAGGTAAAAGAGACAATCTTGGAATTAAAAACACTTGTAAACTAAACTTAAGGGGTAAATTTTTGGTGTATATTTAATGCAAAACTGAGAATTTCTTTTGTAATAGATGCCAAGTTAAAAAAAAACTGCTGAAGAGATTAATTGCCAACAATAAAACAACTTTTATGATCTTAATTGCCCCAGAGTTTATATATATGACTATAATAAAGGATTAATTCTTAAAGTGAGTATGCAAGATTTGTTTGCATTTCTTGTGTCAAAGAAAGCATTAGACATTCAATGCATTCTCTCTTGTTAAGTGCTAAGTGTGTTTAATGTGAGACTACATCTATGAATTGGATTTAAAAATTGCAAAAAAAAATACTGCATTAGTAAAGATGGCATGGACTAAATAATCTCTAAATTTTATTTCATTCTAAAGAAAATGCTGTATTTTGTAGTTAAGTTCATGAGAGTGTGAAGTATATAATCAAGCTTCCATGATTTTTTTAAGCAGGCACATTTCTTTTTTTGTTGTTTTGTTTTAGAAAGGGAAGAGCATGAAAATACTTCAGTCCTGTGAGAAAATGCATTCTTGTTTGTTAAGCCATCTAGTTTATGATACTTTGTTGTGGCAGCCTGCAGTGACGTGACAAAGACAGAATATTTGATGAATAAAATAGTTATTTAGTGAGGCAGAGTATATTAGGAAAAGAGTAATTTGAAAAAAAAAGTTGAAAAGTTAGCAACCAAAGAGTAATTTCATATAAATGTTGGTAAACCCAGCTAAAGTCTTTTCATTTTGTTCAGGTAGGTTCAAAATACAATTCTAGTCATTCAGTGGAGGGTAGAATTGAGGGGGTCTAGTGACCTTACACAATGAGACCAAGTGTTAAGGCTACTGCTGTTGCATAAATCAAAGATGATGTGACTTGGACTAGCATGGAGTGGCGGGGGTGGTGAAGATAATTTTATTTTTATTTTTTATTTTATTTTTATTTTTTTCCACCCCCGATCCCTGCTCTTTCTCTGCCTCTGTTCTTCCATCCATATTTCCTTGAGAATCATCCAACCAAAGACATTTCTTCACAGAGGTGAATTTTGTGATATTATAATATTTCCCAGGAGATTTTCCTTTTTTAAAAAAAATGTCTCTACACTCCCCTCAGGCACAAAAAGCAAGTGTTAGTAATGCCTTTATTATACTTGGTAACTCTCAAGAAGAGAGGCACACCTAAGTGTGTGTCAGGAACTATGAGATGCCTTCAGAGTTAGAAAAAGCCCTGTCTAAACTCAATCTACTTATATGCCACCACCCCAAAGAGAGTATGATTATGCGCTTGGAAAAAGTCACTCCTCTAATTAAGGCAAATATAGTGAAAAAATCATGTTTCCCTATTTTTCTTCTTTTTCTACTGTTGAATTTTTTTGGTCATTTCAATGTCAATCATGGTAATTAATAAGGTATTCTTCTTTTACAAACCCAATACAATTGCACATTTTATGATTTTTTTTGCTTTAACTAATAGTGCATCTTTCACCCAAAGTGTGTGTGTGTGTGTGTGTGCGTGTGTGTGTGCGTGCACACGTGAGTGTGCACAGTCTGCAGAATGTCACATATAGTGATATGGGAGAAAGTGGGTCCATGTATTTAGGATTGCCACTAAGGATTAGTATTGCTGTGAGTCCCATTATGCTTCTGTGAAAGTTCAGGGGGAGTTCGAGGAATCTTTCTGACATGAAGATGTTCTGCAGGTAGCTAATTCCTAAATGAGCCCCTTTATAATGCTCCCCATGTACCTGTTTCAAATGCTAACCTGTTCAACTTTGTTTTTATTTTATTATTTTTTTTTAAATTTTATTATTATTATACTTCAAGTTTTAGGGTACATGTGCACAACGTGCAGTTTTGTTACATATATATACATGTGCCATGTTGGTGTGCTGCACCCTTTAACTTGTCATTTAGCATTAGGTATATCTCCTAATTTTTAAAGGTCATTCTAGAAGAATTTGGGTTATCCCTATACCCAAATTCAATCTCAGTAAAATAGGAATCCCCATTCACATAGATGCATAAGCCAAAATCACTAGTGTTATTCTTGACTTCTTTTTCCTTATACTTAACATCTAATCAGTAAACAACCTATCGGTAAACAAATTCTTCTAGAATTTGGGTATAGGGATAAGTTTTCTGTTTGGGATATATTAAATATGAGATTTTTAAAAAAGTTTCAAAGAGATAGTTGAATATAGCGGTTGAGGCATATGAATCAAAATATAAATGCAGGTTTTATCAGCATAGAAAATATGATTTAAATTATAAGATAGGATAACATTACCTAAAAAGTTAGATGAAATCAAAAGCAGAAGTTGAAAAATATTATATGGGAGTTTTCTGGGTTCAATAATTGGGAGAAAGAAGAGCATCTAGAAAAGGTGTGGTGTCGGAGATGAAACAGTGAGTGATTTGGGAAATCTTAGTAATCTACCAAACGGGGGAAGGGTTCCCCAAACTGTATTTATAGAGCAGGTGATAGATTTCCTTCATACTCTTTATCATTGATAGAAATAATTTTAGAATTGTTAGTTTAATGTGTATCCCTTTATTATACTTTCCATAAAAACAGGTGTGGTGCCTACTTTGGCCATAGTTTTGGATAGAACTATTTCTAATATATTAATACATCAAGTATTGACTATGTTTTATTTGTAAATAAAATATTAAAACAGGAGCATAAGTACTTAAAATATTAGGTAGCCATCATACTTCAAATCTATTTTAACATTTGGTACTGTGCAAAACATATTTTGAAATCATTATTTTTTCATGTATTTTGGAACATTATAACTAATCTCATTAAGTTAAAGGAATAAAAGAAATAAATATGTGTTTCCATGAAAATAATCCATAAGTAATAGCTTTTCTAAAAGACAATTTCAGTTAAAGAAAGGCAAAAGAGTCTCAAATAGAAGACATTTATTATTTCTAATTATTAGCACATTTTCACTGTTTTGGTAGAAATAGTTTCTTGAAAAAGAGACAGGCATTTCTATGATATCTTTCTGTAGCACGTAAAATATAATTTAAAAATAAAGTTTAACTGGACAAAATATACACACATATGCTGTAGGCATACCCCAATGTATATTTACTACATAACAACAAGCAAATTTTGCATATAGACAGATTCCATTATCAGAAAATATATTACAAATATATTAAGAATTATTATTAACATATTAGAATGAATATAATGAATATACTAATCTTAGTTCATGGTTACATGAACTACATATGACAGAAGCATTTATATGTAATTATGTGCAAAAATACATGTTCATATAAACATATATCAACAGTGATCAGTGGAATCGATACAGAAATGTGAAGTTGCATTGGTGCTGTGTAAATTGTAGTGTTGGAGGCCCAAATGCCAGGGAGCAATCTTTGTTGCTGACAGAACTGGTTTCTCCTGGGCTTTGTTCCATGTGCCTTTTCTGATTACTGATTTTAATCTGTATTCTTTCTCTGCAATAAAACATAACTGATAGTACAATAGCTCTTCGGAGTCTAGAGAATCCTTCTAATGAATCATAAAACCTGAAGATACTCTTGGGGAACCCTGAAATAGCACTCAATGAAGGTCATATTTTTGTTGCATTTACACAAGCCAATATTCATTGTTTACATAAATAGTACCTTAATAACCCAAAGAAGGAAATGAAGAAGGCCTTATTTATATTTATATATATTTTTTTGAGACAGTGTTTCACTATTGTTGCCTAGGCTGGAGTATAATGGGGTGATCTTAGCTCACTGCAAACTCTGCCTCTTGGGTTCAAGTGATTCCCCTGTCTCAGCTTCCCAAGTAGCTGGGATTATAGGCACCCACCACTACACCTGTCTCATTTTTGTATTTTTAGTAGAGACAGGGTTTCACCATGTTGGACAGGCTGGTCTCGAATTCCTGACCTCAGGTGATCCGCCTGCCTTGGCCTCCCTAAGTTCTGGGATTACAGGTGTGAGCCACTGCACCCGGCCTATATTTTTACTATATTATATTATATTATATTATATTATATTATATTATATTATATTATATTATCTTTATGCAACTCAAAACATTTATTCAATCTTTGATTTATTTTATTGGATTAAGCCACTTTTTCCCTCATTACCAAGAAAACTAATAGAGTTAGAAAGGTTACTGAAAAAAAAATATGTAACAGTGTGTATTTTAAGAATCAGTTGAATATATGAGGAGCATTATAAATCTTTAAAGAAGATTATAAACTTTTAGTAAAGTTATGAAAATAGAATAATAATATATAAATATGTAATATATGCATATAGTATATATTGACTTACTACAGAATTTAGTAAGTAGCTTAGATAATTTTTCAGAAGAAAAACAGACCACTTTTCCTATCTATGAAAAATACTGTCATTATTTATAGACGACAGTTATCAATTTAGAAAAGCAACTGAATGAAAAAGTAAACTACAGAGTGGAGCACAAATGCTAGACGCAAGTTCAAACTACAGAAATAAGTAGTGATTTTCTGCATATAACAACCAATTAGAAAATGTAGAAAAAATAAGGGACAATACAAGTGTTCATTCTTGAAATTTTTTAAAGCAATAATGAAAAATATTTCTACAATAAAATATTTACAATTAAAAATGTATATGGGAAAGTCATTGAATACACGGGAAAATATCCCATAATATTTGACTGTTTTATAAACATAAAATTATTCTAATATATATATAGAGACAAACGACATCAATAAATAGCTGTTGATTTTTTTAAGTAGGATAAAAAATATTTGTCTTACAGTGATAAATACATGGCTGTATTTATAGCTAAGCCAACACATACACTACATACGTACACATCTTAAATGTGTATACATATGTAGCCCAAAGCCAAAACATTGCATTAATAAAGGTTTTGTGTGAAGAAATAAAAATAATAAAACAGAATATTAACTCCAACCTAAAGTTGTCTATATGTGATAAAGGGTAGCATGACAAATCAATGGGAGGAGAATAAATGATTTCAGATAGTGTTAAAAATTATTTACTTTATGGAAAAAACTGAACATGGATCCTGACCCATCACCATATACAAATATGGACTAGTGAATTAATGATTTGAACGTTATAAAACTAGATTTCTAACTTTTCAAAATGTGATTTTCTAAAATGTAATGTCTAACAACTTAGAGTAATCACAGTTTAATTCATGTGTAAATCCTTTTTAATGATATCTAGTTGTTTTCTGTGTGTGTGTATGTGTGAATATGCATGTGTGTGTGTTTTTAATTTAGAAGAGAATCAGTGTGTACCTAATTAGAAAACTATGGGCATTTGTAATAGATATATATATTATCATCACAGTTAGATGGCATATATTTCTAAGGACAATGTAGAAGGCTCAAAATTACCTTTCATTTTTTTTTCCACTATGAGGCTTCACATACAAGAACAAAACATGCTATTGCTCAAGATGAGTTACAACATCAATATAATTGTGAAAATGTCTTTGATAATAACTTAGTTATCCCCAGTAATATTTACTATCCAATAACTGTTACATTAATTACTTACAGTTAAGCGCAGAACTTTATTTTTAATTGATGATAGAAATAATAAAAATGTGACTTTTTGCTTTACACACAATCATGGTAGTTATAGTTTTAATAAGTTTACTTTTTCTTTTTCTCTGACATTTATATACATATCCCTCTTCATAGCGTTTTGAATAACATAATGTTGCAAGGTTGAAAACCAGCGTGGAACAAATATTAAATACATTTTTGAAAAAGAAAACACATAAAATGCAGAAAAACAAATTGAGGTTAAGAGGACAATAAAACAATAATGTAAAACATTAGTTTTTCTAGTAATAAGTGTACTTTAAGCCTCGTTCATAAATATAATAAGTATTAAGTTCACTGTGTTGAAATGGATACTGTTAAATCATAAGTCAATTGAAGATGGCCTTATAACACAGAATTGACTTCAATTATTCACATATCTTTAATATGTGAATAATTTATAATGCATAGATTTTCCTATTTCCCTCTTCACTTACATTTAAATATAAATACCTCTGCTTTTTCTATGAATTAAATTTTAATTTGGATATGTCTTTATAATATTTTTTCTATTAGGCAAATTAAATGTGATATAAATGATCATAAAATTAGTGGAATATTGGTTCTGAGGGAAAAGTTCAAGAGGGCTAACTCGATGCAGCTAGGACGTGCCTCTCCCATAGAGAAGAGCAAAAATATCCAAAAAATCTTTGCATTTCAAATAGATTTTCTAAGCCCGAACACTAAAATACAATAGAAAGGTGATGAGAGATACCGTGATTAAAGAAATAGGAAACAGGGCTGAATGTTTAGGGTTGCTGAGTACTGAGAACAGTCCAGGGACCTGAACTCAGACCCAAGGAAGGGGTAAGTGAAGGAACTCTGGAGCTTTATATTCCAACCATGGGTCTCTGTGATCCTAGCTACATGCTTTCTTCCCTGCCACCTTACAAGACAGGACTTTGATCCTCATTTGCCTTCTGCCATGATTGTGAGGCCTCCCCTCTTTCCTTTATAAATTACCCAGTCTCAGATATGTCTTTATTAGCAGCATGAGAACAGACTAATACACCCAGGACACAAGCATACCATCCAGGGTCATGAAGATAAGATTGGTGATATGATTTTGAGCAAGAGAGGAGCTCCATTGCCAGAAAAGCAAGAAAAGTGTGGCATATGTTTGTGCTGTGATGTAGAAGCTGGACACTCCTCCTTTCAAAAGAATGAACCAAGAAGGTTGTGGCCTGATATTGCAGTTTTTCCTCCAGGTAGGGAGTCATCTGGAAGGCCTCAGGGATCTGAACATAGAATGCTTAGAACTGGCTTAAACCTTCTGGCCTGCTGCCATGGCCAGATGCTGGAAGGAGACCTGCTATTTTGAGGGTGTGGAAGCTGAACAGGTTCCACCTCTGCCTGCCAGGCTGAAGACTCTAGCCATCTCTTTTTCCCTCTGTTGGCTATATGGTGTGGGAGAGGCACCTCAAATCCCTCCTTGAAGGGTTGCCTCAGTGGTCTGAGAGCTGTCCTTAAGCCCCTGCAAGGTTCCCATTTGCACCTGCCTTGCAGAGCCTGGTAGTGGGCTTGCCTGACCCAGCCCCATCCATATTTTCCCCAGACAGCCACCTTGGTGGCAAAGCCTAGGATGGGGAATCCTGGGACCTTCCTGGTCCTGCATATCATCAAGAACACCTTGGCACTTCTGATTAACAAATGCCAGTAAAAATTATACTGCCACTACTGCAGCTGGCTCTCTCCTGCAAGTGCCACCTGCTGGCCTGGAGGTCAAGCTGCATCACCCATTACAACTACGGCTGACACCATTGTAACCTGCTTGAGTGGTTCTTGCCTGCAAGCACCCCCTACTCACCTGTAGCATGAGCCGCAGCACTCAATATAATTCCTGCTGTCAGAAATGTACAGCACTGGGGAATGAGATAAACCTCCCAAGACCTCTACATTCCCATCTGTGCAGGAGATCATTAGCCTGCCCCCACATACAATATGTCACTACTACAACCT
Source organism: Homo sapiens (assembly GCF_000001405.40). Lineage (NCBI taxonomy): Eukaryota > Metazoa > Chordata > Mammalia > Primates > Hominidae > Homo > Homo sapiens. The sequence goes on along the minus strand of NC_000004.12, from coordinate 115,873,017 downwards.
ACAAACAACCAGCATTTGAGAAAACCACTACACTAAGCCTATCTATAATGAAAGAATGCATACAGAGCCTTGGCTACCAACAAGCACAAAGAAGCAAAGCAAAAAGATCCTAATTCTACCCAATATATGCAACAGTCACAATTTTAAAGAGGAAAAAAGGCCCAAACCAAATTAAAAAATAAATGACAACTTCTCCAACTGACAAGGAACGTGCATAAGAACTCTGGAAAAAAATGAAAAAGAGAGTGTTGTGGCAATCTAGAATGATCACTCTACCTCTCCAGCAATAGACTGAAAATTCTATAGACACAGATTAAAAATTTAAACTATAAATTGTAAGGAAGCTCAATCAGATACAAGAGAAAGTTGTAATGCAATGCAAATGAATCAGAAATATAATTTAAAATATGAATAAACATTCCCTAAAGACAGATATTTTTACAAAACAAATAGAACTTATGAAAATATAAACAATTTACTAAAGGACCACAACATTCATTTGAATGTGTTAGCAATCAACTAGACCAAGCAGATGAAACAATTTCAGAGCTTGAAGACTGGTCTTTGAAATAACTTAGACAGAAAAGAAATAAAAACAATTTAAAAAATGAATAATGCTTTTGGAAAATATGGGAATATGTAAAGTAATCAAACCTCCAAGTTATAGGCATTCCTGAGAGGGGAGAAGAAAAAGTTAAAAGTTTGGGAAACATATTTGAGGGAACAATTCAGAAAATTTTCTCTGGTCTTGCTAATGATATAGATGTCCAGATACAAAAAGCTCAGAAGAGACCTGTGAGATACTTAACAAGATGAACATCACTAAGGCATATAGTCATCAGACTGTCCAAAGTAAACAGAAGGAAAAAATCCTAAAAGCAACAAGAGAGAAGGATCAAATCACATATACAAGAAATCCCATCAGACTAACAGCAGACTTCTTACCAGAAACCTTACAAGCCAGAAGAGACTAAGGCCCTATTTTCAGTCTTCTTGAATAAAAGATCTGCTAGCCAAGAATGTTTTGTCCTTCTAAACTAACTTTCATTATGGAAGAAGAAATTAAGTATTTCTCAGACAAGTAAATGCTAAGAGAATTGGTCACCACTAGGCAAATCTTACAAGAAATTCTCAAGGGAGTTATACACATGGAAATGAAAGGGTGATAATCCTCCTCATAAAAACACATGAGAATTTAAAAATTCACTGTTCTTATAAAGCAAGAACACAATTGTGAATACAAAGCAACTAGATAACAATTAACATCATGACAGGAACAAAACCTTACATGGTAATTTCTCAGGCAAGTAAATGCTAAGGTAATTGGTCACCACCAGACAGATCCTACAAGTCATTCTCAAGGGAATTATACACATGGAAATGAAAGGATGATAATCACTATCACAAAAACACATGAGAATTTATAACTTACAGATCTTATAAAGCAAGCACACAATTGAGAATATAAAGCAAGCCCACAATTGAGAATACAAAGCAACTAGATAACAATTAACATCATGACAGAGCAACACCTTTCATATTAACATTAACCTTAAATGTCAGTGGACTAAATGCTCCACTTAAAATATTTACAATGGCAAACTGGATTTAAAAAACAGATCCAATGACACATTATCTAAAAGAAAGCCAACTAATGGGTAAATACATTAACAAATTCAAAGTAAAGGGGTGGAAAAAGATATCCTATGCAAATGGGAAAAAAGTGAGCATGAGTAGTTATACTAATGTAGGATATAACAGACATTAAATCAAGAACAGTTTAAAAAAGACAAACAGAGGTCACTAGATAATGATAAAGGGATCAGGTCAATAAGAATATATAATGATCCTAAATATATATTCACCCAATATTAAAGAACCCAGGTTCATAAACAAATACTACTAAACTTAAGAAAATACTTCAACACCACAATGACAGCACTGCATAGGTTATCAAGGCAGAAAATCAACAGAAAACTCTGGAATTAAATGAACATTTACAAATCATTCTACCCCAAAACTGCAGAATATACATTCTTCTTTTCTGTGTGTGAAACTTTTTTTAATTGGCCATATGCTAGACTACAATACAAGTCTCAATGATTTTTTAAAATTAAAATTATATCAAGAATCTTTTCAGACGACAGTGGAATAAACCTAGAAATTAATAAAAAGAGAAACTCTAAAAAATATACAAAATCATGGAAATTAACTTACTCCTGAATGATCTTTAGATAAAAAATTAAGCTAAGGTAGAAATTTTCTTGAAAAAGTTGTTGAAATAAATGAATATGGAGACACAACATAACAAAACTTCTGGGATAAGGCAAAAACAGTGCTAAGAGAGAAGTTTGTAGTGTTAAATGCCTACATCAGAAACAGAAAAATCTTAAATTAGCAATCTAGATGTCACATTTCAAGGAACTATATAAACAAGGACAAGCCAAATCCAAAGGTAGCAGAAGAAAAGAAATAACAAATATCAGAGCAGAAATAAGTAAACTTGAGACAAAAATTGCATTCGTCCATTCTCGCACTGCAGTAAATAGTTGAGACTAGGTAATTTATAAAGAAATTAGATTTAATTGGCTTATGGTTCCACAGGCTGTACAGAGACATGATATTGGCATCTGCTTAGCTTCTGGGAAGGCCTCAGGAAACTTATAATCATGATGGAAGTCAAAGGGAAAGTGAGGACCTCACATGGCCAGAGCAGAAGGAAGATAGAGAGAGGCTGGAGGTGCCACACACTTTTAAATAACCAGATCTCATGAGAACTCACTATCACCACAACACCACCAAGGGGAATAATGTTAGACCATGAGGAACTGCCCCATGATTCAATCACCTCCCACCAGGCCCTACCTCCAACACTGGGGATTGAAATTTAACATGAGATTTGGGCAGAGAAACAGATACAAACCATATCAAAAATCAATATAAAGGATCAGTGAAATGGAAAATCAAAAAGTTGGTTTTTTAAAAGGTAAATCAAATTGAAAGACTGCTAGCTAGATTAACCAAGCAAAAAAGAATGAAGATTCAAATAGGCACAATCAGAAATAATAAAGACAAGCTTTCAAATATACCACATAAGCATCAAAAATTAACAGAGACTATTATGAGCATCTCTATGCACACAAACTGGAAAACAACAGAGGAAGTGGACAAAACATAAAATTGAACAAGGAAAAAGTAGAAATCCTGAAAACACTAGCAATGAATGGTGAAATTAAATCAGTCATACCAAATTTACCAACAAAAATAAGCCCAGGACCACACAAATTCATAGTCTGTCAGATGTCCAGAGAAGAATTGGTGCCAATCCTACTGAAAATGTTCCAGAGAAATTGAAAAGGTGGGATTCATCCCTAACACATTTTATGAAGCCAGTATCACCCTGGTGAGGGTGATGTCATACTAAAGCTAAGTAAGAACACAACAGATGAAGAAAGCTACAGGCTAATATCACTAATAAACATAGATTCAAAAATCCTCAAGAACCTACTAGCCAAACAAATCCAACAACACATCAAAAAAGTAATATACTGTGATCAAGGGAGCTTATTCCAGGGATGCAAAGATGGTTTAATATACACAAATCAATAAATGTTTTTCACCACATAAATTAAAACCAAAAACATTATCATCTCAATAAATGTGGAAAAAGCATTCAATAACATTCAGCACGCTTTATGATAAAAACACTCAACAAACTATGCATGGAAGTAACGTACCTCAAAATATTAAAAACTATGTATAACAAACCCACAGTCAATACCATAATGAATGGAGAAAAGTTGAAGGCATTCCCCCTTAGGAAATAGAAACACTGGAAAATACAGGATTATGTAAAGTGAGCAAACCTAAAAGTTATAGGCATTCCTGAGGGAGAAGAAGAAAAGGTTAAATGTTTGGGGAATATATTTGAGGAAATAATTCAAAAAAATTTCTCTGGTCTTTCTAGTGAGGTAGATGTCCAGATACAAAAAGCCCAGAGGAGAACTGTGAGATACTTAAGATGAACATCATCAAGGCGTATAGTCAAGAAAAGAGTGCCCACTTTCACCAGCCTTATTCAAAATAGTCCTGGAAGTCTTAGCCAAAGCAATTAAGCTAGAGAAATAAATAAAAGGCATCCAAACTGGAAAAGAGGAAGTCAAACTATTTGTGTTCACTCTTGATATGATTTTATAGCTAGAACTCTAAAGACTCCTCCAAAAGACTCCTAGATTTTGGAAATGACTTCAGTAGTATTTCACGACACAAAATCAATGCACAAAAATCAGTAGCAGGTCTGTATATCAATTACTTTCAAGTTGAGAATCAAATCAGGAACTAAATTTCGTTTACAATAGCCACACATATAAATAAATTACCTAGGAATACATTTAACCAAGGAGGTGAAAATCTCTACAACAAGAACTACAATACACCAGTGAAAGAAATCATAGATGAGGCAAACAAATGGGAAAACATCCCATGCTCATGAATTAGAATAATCAACATCATCCAAAGCAATTTACATATTTAATACCATCCCTATCCAAGTCCCAATGTTCTTTTTCAAGAACTGGAAAAATGACTCTAGAATCAATATGGAACCAACAAAGATCCTGAATAACAAATCAATCCTAAGAAAAAAGAACAAAGTTGGAAGCATCACATTACCTGATATCAAATTATACTGTAAGCTCATAGTAACCAAAACAACACGGTACTGAGGTAAAAGTAAACACACAGAACAATGGAACAAAAATCAGAACCCAGAAATAAAGCCAGATACCTACAACGAATTGATTTTTGACGAAGTGAGCTAAAATGTATGCTGAGGAATGGACAATCTATTAAAATAAATGATGATGGGAAAATTGGATAGCCATATGCAGAAAAATAAAGTTGGACCTGTACTTCTCATCATACGCAAAAATTAACTAAAGATGGATTACAGACTTAAACATAAGACCTGAAACTATAAAAAATCCCAGCAGTAAACTTCGGAAAATCTCTTCTGGATATTGGTGTTGGCCAATAATTAATTATTAAGATCTGAAAAGCAAATGCAACAAAAACAGAAATAGACAAAGGTGATGTAATTAAACTAAAAAGTTTCTGCACGGAAAAAAAAAAATTAAGAGAGTAAACAGACAACCTACAAAATGGGAAAAGTATTTGCAAACTATGCATCTGACAAAGGGCTAATATCAGAATCTACAAATATCTCAAAAAACTCAGCAAGAAAAATGCAAATAACCCCATTAAAAAGTGGGCAAAAACAGGAACACTTTTCAAAGGAGGCATGCAAGTGGTCAAAAATCATGAAAAAATGCTCAGTATCACTAATCATCAAAGAAATGCAAATTAAAACCACAATGGGATACCATTTTACATCAGTCAGAATGGCAATTATTAAAAAGTCAAAAAACAGCAGATGTTGGGAATGATGTGAAGAAATTGGAACACTTACATGCTTTTGGTGGGAATGTAAATTAGTACAAGCTTTATGGAAAACAATATGGGGATTTTTCAGAGAACTAAAAATAGAGCAATCCAACTACTGAGTATACACCCAAATGGAATAAAATCATTACGTCAAAAAGATATGCACATTCATATGTTTATCACTGTACTACTCACAATAGCAAAGGCATGGAACCAACCTAACTATCGATCAATGGATGACTGGATAAAGAAAATGCGGTATGTATAAATTCCACAGAATACTACTCAGCCGTAAAAAAGAATGAAATAATGTCTTTTGTAGCAAGACGTATGTAACTGCAGGCCATTATTCTAAGTGAAATAACTCAGAAACAGAAAGTCAAATATTAGATGTTTTCACTTAAACCTGGGAGCTAAGCAGTGGGTACACATGGGCAAGCAGAGTAGAATAATGTACAGTGGAGACTACAAAAGGTGAAAGGGTAGAAAGGGAGTGAGGTTTGAAAAATTATCGATTGGGTATAATGTTTACTATTTGGGTGATGGGTACACTGGAAGCCCAGACTTTACCACTACAGAGTAAGTACATAAAGGAAATCTGCACTCGTACCCCCTAAATATATAAAAATAAAGATTAAAAATATTAGTGGAGGATTTTTCAGTTTATTGCTGAACAAATGCAAAGAGGGAAATATTATTAACCAATATCACTCACTCAAAAATATATTCAGCGTTAAGCATGTGCACATCTTTATTATATATTCACTTATACCCAAGGCTGGCAAACTATGGCTGTCCTATGTATCAAATCCAGCTCACATCCTACTTTTGTAGGTAAACTTTGTTGGAACACAGCAACACTCATTTGTTTACAATTGTCTAAGTCTGCTTTTTTATTATGAAACATGAAGTTGAATAGCTATGACAGATAGCATAGGGTTCACAGAGCTTAAAATATATGTGACTTGGCCCTTACAGAAAATAACTTAGCTAACGTCAAGTTATAAGGTTGAATTTCCTTCCTTCCTTCCTTCCTTCCTTCCTTCCTTCCTTCCTTCCTTCCTTCCTTCCTTCCTCCTTCCTTCCTCACTCATCTCACTTATTATCACTGTCCCAGAGAAAGACGACCTTTTTACAGAATCCAAATGTAAAGTCATCAGAATTGTAAACTGAAATATATCTTAGTGTATGCTCAGATGTCAGTACTTGCTGCTAAATTTACCATTGGTAAGTAAAATGAGCAAATATTCTTTTTACTAAAAGAAACGTTCTTGCTTACTTAGTAATCAAAAGGACTTACTTGTGAAAATGTCCTTGCTCAGGTACCTCACCACAATACATTTAACATATTTAGCTAGAACATCTGGAAATGTTTGAAGATGTTCAGTATCTGTAATTTCAAGAGACATACCTTGGTTTATAAGTGAGATTTCATTCTAACTTCTGATAATTTTTCTTATAGGTGCTGTTAAAGAATTAGGATTCAAAGGGAAACCAGCAAAACATACACATACACACACACACGCACACACACACACACACGGACTTGAATTTTCAAACTTTTGAACAGTGAGCTTAAGCAAAAGTGTTGGCAATCCAATGAGAAATACATAATATATTTTGAGTTAAGACTGATGCAAACAGACTGTTTCTAGATGATTGTTTTAACACACTGACCACAAAACAGTTTGTGTTTGTGGCAAAGACCCAGATATGAAGTAAGCTGAAATAGAATTTGGCAGAATTAAGAAGCTTATAACAGAACATGTTCTTGTTGGAAGAGTTGTTACTCTTGGAAAAATAACTGACATGAGACAATCTATATATTTTTTTAAATCATCCTTTTCTCTCTCTCTCTCTCTCTCTTTTTTTTTTTTTTTTTTTTTTTTTTTTTTTTTTTTTTTTTTTGGCAGAGTGCAACTAACCACCTGTTCTTATTTTCCAGGGGAAAATTATAATAAAAAAGAACATCTGGGTGATTTAACTAAAATATAAGATTGCTCATTACACTTCTGAGATTTTTTTCTTACTGAAAAATGCTGACAGTAGGAACACAGAAAGATGGGTGTGATGGATTTTCTACACAAGTTACACAAGCTTGCTTAACTTGGAGTTTGATGGGGGAAAATATTTATGTTCAAATTTAAAAATTTATTTTTATAGAGTATTGCCTTTTCCTTTACTGAACCTAGTTGTAATTAAAATCAGTATGAACATATTCAAGCAGTCTCCAACAAGCAAGTATGTTATTTAAGAAATGTGATTGATGTTTAAAAAATTGATAAACACATACATCTAAATGAATATGTTTATCAATCATTATAATAAAAATCAATATATTTATTGTAAGTCTTTATCAGACTATTTGGTCCTGAATTTTGAAATTTCTTTCAAAATTTGACGTTGTTTAAATATATTTAGTGGTGTGAAAGTGTGAGGGCTTTATCTTATGTACTGTGCATGTCATATTGGAATATATTGTATATCTACCTAATATATAGATATTGTATATCTACCTAATATATTGTATATCTACCTAATATATAGATCAAGTTAGGTAATATCTCAAAGAGAAATCTCAATGAGAAACACAGTATTTTAGAAATAACCTTTGTAGAGCAACTTAAACTACTTTCAATCAAGTTATATTTGTGGTAAGTACTATTGGAAGGACATACTCATAACTCATGGAAATCCAGGCAAAGGGTAAACTATCAGATTTTAATAAAAGCGAAAGCAAATGCTGGGCAAACACAGGGAACATGTTAGGTCTCCATAGTCTTGTATTTATGTGTGTGTGTGTGTGTGTGTGTGTATATATAGTATACTGTATACATTATATATATACAATGTACATATAATATACATATATACAGTATATGTATATATACTGTATACTGTATATATATGTATAATGTATACATTATATATAATGTATACACACACTATATATATCTTGTGTATGTATATATATATACACACACACACACACACACATACTTATATATATATTTTATATATTTTTAAATTCTCTCCAGTTTATTAATTCTTCCTTATGGGGTGATAACTGAGTCTCTTGTTAGTTTTGGTATAAAGATGGCATAAATTGTCAAGGAAAATAACTAAAACTTTTATCTATACACTGAATTTAAATAAAAGTATTACGTTCTGGAATTGGTTCTCATTTATTTCTGCCATTCCTTATTAATTTGATTTACTGCTAAATGAATGAATGAGACTGAATGGATGAGACAATTTTATAAAATTTAACATTTAACATTTAGTACCTGATCCACAAATCACAGCAATATAATTCATCAAGTACTCCAAAACAAGAACAAACATGATTAATTTTAACAACGTGTGAGTGAAAAGTCAAAGATTTATATAGACAACAAAATTTCATAAGCTTTAACAGAAAACATATGTTGTATGTTTCTGTCATTTGAAAACTATAAAATTCCAGAAATAAGTATGTATCGAAGTCTTGGCATAAAACAAAATTTATAAAACATCTTAAACTATAATTTGAGTACTTACATTTTTATACTGATGATTCTAGCTTTACTCCAAAAGATACATGAACTGGGATTATCTATGGTGTCATTATTCTCATCTATTCACTCTGATATAATATCTTATTATCATAAGATATGATTATTTAATAATTACTGCAATCATGAAACCAAGAACAACATGGTTAACTATCTTAAGGAAATAGACAAAAATTGCCTATAAAGGTAACCATGACTAATGATATACTATTATTTGACCAGAATTGGCTAATTTCCAACATAAAGAACAATAAAAATTTAGAAAATGTCTTAGTGCTATAGAGTAAGTATTTGCTACAGAGTTATTATTAGTGCCATAGAGTAAGTATCATGCTATGGAGTAAGTACTATAGAGTAAGAATTTGTTGTGCCTACAACAAATTCATGTTGAAATCCTAACCCCCAATATGATAGTCTGTCCTTTGGAAGGTAATTAAATCATAAAAGTGGAGCCCTCCATGAATGGATAAATACCTTTATAAAAAGACACAGGAGAGTATTATTATTATTATTTTTCTCTCTCCTCTGTCTCCCATGTAAGGAAACAAGAAGAGGACTGCTGTCTACAAAGAAGGAAGAGTGCCCTCATCAGACACCAAATTTGCTGGCACTTTGATTTTGGACTTGCTAGTCTCCAGAACCGTGTGGAATAAAGTTTGTTGTTTAAGCCATCCAGCCTATGATATTGTGTTATAGCTGCCTGAACTAATTAAGACATTGTATCTGTAAGAATTATGAATAGATATGTCCTATGCGTTGTGAAGTGTATTGTTTAAATTTGGCTGGACTACTCAGAATAAGTATCTTTCTTAAACTGAAAAATAAAAGATTGAGGTATTTATATACAAAACATATTTCTAAACTAGATAATATTTAATTTGAATCATTCAACTTGATAAATATTTACTGAATTCTGGGTACAATAGATATATTAGTGAAGTAATTTACACAAAATTACTATAGTCATGGAGCTTACCTCTAGAGGAGACAAAACCAACAATAAACAAATAAGAAAACTAGATAGCATATTGTCAATATGACCCTCTATATTATGAAGAGAAATAAAGCAGGAAAGCAAAAAGGCGTATTTGTAAAGAATGGTTGCAAATTGTTCTCTTACTCAAGATAGTGAAAGATTGGTGATTGACAGTTTTAAACTTTTATTCTGAAATAATTTTAGATTTACAAAAAAAATGTTGAAAAGATAATGCAAAGAGTTCTCATACAAGCTTCAGCCAGTTTTCCCTACAGTCAACATTTACAAAACCATTGTAAAATTATAAACTCTATGAAATTAACATTGGCATAATATTATTGAATAAACTCCAGGCTTTATTCACATTTTACCACTGTCTTCACTAATATCCTTTTTTTCTGATTCTGTCATTTCATTGCATTTAGGCATCATGTCTCTTTAGCCTGCTTTAATCTGTGACAATCTCTCAATCTGCCCTTCTTATTGTAACTTCCATGCTGTTGAATACTGCAGGACAGATATTTTGTAAAATGTCTCTTCATTTATGTTTGTCTTATGTTTTCTCATGATTGGTCTGGAACTACTGATTTTTGGGGAGAATGTCTCAGAGGCAAAGTGACCTGCTTATCATATCCTAATGGAAAATATATGGTAATAACATGATGCATTTCTGGTAATGGCCACATTTATCACTTGATTAAGGTGTCGTCGTTGAGGTTTCTCCAAAACAAAATTATCATTTTCCCATTATGTGCTCCAGTCATGAGAAATAAATAGCAAAATTCAGTCCACATTTGAGATGAGAACTACATTGTACAGTCCGAAGCAAGGACTTTAGAGTATTTGAGGATATATGTTAAAACCACCCCAGTAATTAGTAAATATATTTAGGAAATGCTTTTAGATTATTCAAATATTCTGTTTCTCCTTAAACTTCCTTTCTCCATCTTTTAAAATTCATCAGTGAATATTGCTGACAGCCATTAGTACTCTTGTATAATGATAATTTTTAAAATTCCCTTATTTATTATACATTTATTATGTTCTGACTTTTCCCCTTCTGCTTGTACATTTGTTCATTTATCTATTTGTATCGGTACAGACTAATGGATATTCATTTTCTATCTTTTGTTATTTTATTACTTGGTTATCTATTCTGAGTCAATGCTCATTTTAGGAATTGGAAGAAATGCTCCACCAGGAACTTACAGTCTCTTTTGGAGAGATATAACGGAAGGGGTAAAATCTGTTTTCTTTCTTCTGTTTTGTGTTTTAATTTTTTTAATTAATTTTAAAGAATATCAGTATGCCAGTATTTTGATTTGTTTCCCTAAGGAAGCTGAATACTATTTCTAGGGGAACAGACATTATTTTATATGGTAAGACTTCTTAATATACTTTTGTTTATCAAAAATTGGCCTTAGGAATTCCTTGGTCAGGAAAAATATATATAAAAAGGTCTAACCCAGGTTCATGGCAGGAGATTTTGGGACTAGGATCAGAGATAATAATCAACAAATAAATGAAAAAGACAGTTCCTTACTGTACAGTGATTTTCTTTTACCATCTTCTGCACTTCAGTAAAATCTATTAGGAAAACAATGTGAGATAAATTATAGATGAATAAATTGGATGGGTCTGAGTTAGTCGACTGTGAAGTTCAAGGCGCAACACAGTCTACACAAGGCTACCTTTACTTCGGACACCACTTACAAACTACCCTTAGGTTTGATGATATGCTAGGAATACTCACAGAACTCACTGAAAACTGTAATATCCATAGTTACAGTTTATTCCTGGGAAAAATACAGATCAAAATCAGTCCAAAGAAGAGATGGGTAGGTCAGAGTTCAAGAGAAGTCCAAACATAGAGCATCCCAATGTCCGCTTTCCATGGATTCATAGACAATGTTAACTCCTCTCAGCCATAATGTATGACAGTATTAGAAACCAGGAAAGCTTACCCAACTCTTGGTACCCGGTTTTTAATTGCACTTCATGACTTTGATCACATACTTCCTATGTGGCTGAACTTTAGTCTTCAGCTCTGTCAGTGTATCTTCAATCTCCGGTCCCTCTAGAGGAAGAACTGACATAGCATGACCCAAATCCCTCATTACAAATCACATTGTTATGCTGTCTAGCGGCCAGAACCCCAAGACAAACAAAGACACCGATATCAAGCATGACATTCTACTAGCCCAAAGATCACTTTGAAGTAGAGAAAGGCAAAGACCAGAGATCTTTCTTTGGGTAAGGTAAATTTTTTACTACAAAAATTGCATCTACATTTGGGAAAAACTGCACCACAGAAGGCTGAAACTACCTATAAATGTAGTAGCAAGATTGAGAGGGTGTACAAAGAAAAGAAGTATGTGATATGAAAGGCAAAATGTAAGCTCCCTCTTGTAGAAATGTGTATGACTTTAGAAAGGCTTATGAACATTCCACACAATTTATATTGTGGATATCACCTTACAATCCTCTTATTTTGAAAGAAAACAAGCCAATTTATTTAAAGAAAAGAGTAAACTCAGGAGAATAGTAACTGCTCTAATTTAAGTTGGGAAAAATATCATTGAAAACCAAAGGTTGTTTTGCCTGAGCTAAAGAAGTTTAAGGATTTTAAGAAGCTCCAAAATAAAACTTTGACATCCAAAGTAACAACTTTTTCTTTTCAAATCTAGTATTGGTATGTTTTAAGTAAAATGACATATTTCTTTATTAAGCAATGTAAGTGAATACTGTTAATTTATTTGAATCATAAAATTTTATTTTGTTTTCCACAAAAATTAAGTGCAGTGGCTTGTTCATTTAATTAACTAAAATGGTAATGAATGTATCTAGTTATGAGTGCTTATTAGTAATTTTCACATAATAAACTACATGAGAGGAGATAGAATAGAAGAATCATACTAAGCAGTTTACTTCTGAAGTTTACTTCTGAAGTTGAATTATGAGTGATTTCTTTCCTTTGTTTAATTTTATTTTCTGACTATGTTACAGTGTTCCTGCTTGACTTTCCTGTTGAGTAAACACACTAAAGGTAATTTATATTGACAAAAATATCTTATGCTAGAGAGGTAGATACAAAAATTAAGCTTCCAACACCAATACAGAATATAGTTAGACATCAATCTACCCAACTCTACACTCTTAATTGTACACAATGAACTGCTATTTAAGGTGTTAGATTGCCCTTTCTCTTCTAGTGCCTTAGAAATTGCCAACCTTTTCTCTTGTTTAATCAAATGATGCTGTCTAGTTGAAGAAAGCAACATTGATTCTTTCTTAAAATAAGTTTTAATACTTTTATTTTAGGTTCAGGGGTACATGTAAAGTTTTGTTACATAAGTAAACTCATGTCATGGGAGTTCGTTGTACAGATTATTTCATCACTGAGTTATTAAGCCTAGTACTTAATAGTTATCTTCCTTACTCCTCTCCCTCCTCCCACCTTTCACCCTCAAGTAGACCACAATGTCTGTTCTCTTCTTTGTGTTCATAAGTTATCATCATTTAGCTCCCACTTATAAGTGATGACATTTGCTATTTAGTTTTCTGTTCCTGTGTTAGTCTGCAAAAAATAATAGCCTCCAGTTCCATCCATGTTCTTGCAAAAGACACTATCTTGCTATTTTTTATGGCTGAATAGTATTCCATTATAGTGACTGAATAGTATTCCAATAGTATATGTAGCTGAATAGTATTCCAATAGTATGTGTGTATATATATACATTTATATATACGTATATATATACATTTATATATACGTATATATACATTTATATATGTGTATATATATATATATATCACATTTTTTAATGCAAGTTTTCATCAATGGGCATTTAGGTTGATTCCATGTCTTTGCTATTGTGAATAGTGCTGCAGTGAACATTCACATGCATGTGTCTTTATGGTAGAATGCTTTATATTCCTTTGGGTATATACACAGTAATGGGGTTCCTGGGTCAAATGGTAGCTCTGCTTTTAGCTCTTTGAGGAATCTCCATACTAATTTTCACCATAGTTGAACAATTTATACTCCAACCAGTAGTGTATAAATGTTGCCTTGCCTCCACAACGTTGTCAGGGTCTTTAATTTTTTGACATTTTAGTAATAGCCATTCTGACTGGTGAGAGATGGTATCTCACTGTGATTTTGATTTGCATTTTCTAATAAGCAGTGATATTGAGCTTTTTTTATAGGTTTGTTGGCTGCTGATATGGTTTGACTGTGTTTTCACCCAAATCTCATCTTGAGTTGTAATCCTCATTATCCCCATGGGTCATGGGAGATACTTGGTGGGAGGTACTTGAATCCCACAAATTGGGTGTGGTTTCCCCATGCTGTTCTCTGTGATAGTGAGTGAGTTCTGATCAGTGGAATCTGATGATTTTATAAGCCCCTGAAATTTCCCCTGCTGGCACTCATTCTCTCTTCTGCCGCCCTGTGAATAGATGCCTTGTGCCAGGATTATAAGTTACCTGAGGCCTCCCCAGCCATGTGGAATGGTCAGTCAATTAAAACTTTTTTCTTTATAAATTACCCAGTCTCAGGTATTTCTTCATAACAGTGTGAGGACAAACTAATACACTAAATGGTAACAGGAGTAGGGATTTTGAAACGTGAAAACACTGAAATGTGTTCATCAGAATAGAGTTAAGAGCCCAAGAGAGGTCTGTATACACCCATCTAAGAAAAACCCTGTAAGGTTGCAAACCCACACAATAGAGCAAAAGAAGGATCTTTGGGAACACAGATTTTATAAAATAGGGCAAGATCCGTAGCAAGTAGAATACAACTGGCCACACATCAAACCACATCCTTGAGACATGCTCAAAATTAAAAATTGAATTATAAATCCTCTGGGCTACAGTAGACTTATTCCACACATCAGCATACAATGTTTCTCTCTCTTCTCTGTCAACTGCTTCTCAGCCACAACTATTCTGAGTCTCAGGTCAAGGATCTACAGGGCACACTGACTCTAAACTTACCTGTTCCCACCTCTGTACTATACCTCTCTAGAGCACAGGCTTTTAACCGTTATGCACACTTATGAAGTGCCTACTGTGATGTTATATTATCCCTGATGTAGTGTGATGGAAACAAAGGTGCCAATGTACAGTGCAGGCTGTTGCTGCAGGGGGTGCAAGCCCCAAGCATTGGCAGCTACATGTATGTCTTCTTTTGAAAATTGTCTGTTTATGTGCTTTGCTCACTTTTTAATGGGGTTGTTTGTTTTTCTCTTGTAAATTTGCTTAAGTCCCTTATAGATGCTGGATATTAGCACAATTTTCAGAGCCACAGTTTGCAAAACGTATCTTCCATTCTGTAGGTTGTCTGTTTACTCTGTTGATAGTTTCTTTTGCTCTGCAGAAGCTCAAGTTTAATTAGGTTTCAACTGTCAATTTTTGATTTTGTTGCAATTGCTTTTGGTGTCTTTGTCATGAAATATTTGCTTGTTTCTATGTCTAGGATGATATTCCCTAGGTTGTTATCCAGAGTTTTTTTAGTTCTGGGTTTTGCATTTAAGTCTTTAATGCATCTTGAGTTTATTTTTAATAGGGTATAATGAAGGGGACCAGCTTCAGTCTTCTGCATATGGCCAGCCAGTTATCACAGAACCGTTTATTAAATATGGAGTCTTTTCCCCATTGCTCTTTTTTGTCAGCTTTGTCAAAGATCAGATGGTCACAGATGTGGGACCTTACTGTTGGGCTCTCTGTCCTGTTCCATTGGTCCATGTGCTTTTTTTTTTTTTTTTTGTACTAGTACCATGCTGTTTTGGTTACTATAGCCCTATAGTAAAGTTTAAATTCAGGTAACATGATGTCTCAAGCTTTGTTATTTTTGCTAAGAATTGCCTTGGCTATTTTGTCTCTTTTTTGGTTCCATATAATTTTTTTTTTTTTTGAGACGGAGTCTCGCATTGTCACCCAGGCTGCAGTGCAGTGGTGTGATCTCGGCTCACTACAAGCTCCACCTCCTGGGTTCATGCCATTCTCCTGCCTCAGCCTCCTGAGTAGCTGGGACTACAGGCGCCTGCCACTACACCTGGCTAATTTTTTGTATTTTTAGTAGAGACGGGGTATCACTGTGTTAGCCAGGATGGTCTTAATCTCCTGACCTCGTGATCTGCCCACCTCGGCCTCCCAAAGTGCTGGGATTACAGGGATGAGCCACCACGCCTGGCCTGGTTCCATATAAATTTTAAAATAGTTTTTCTAGTTCTGTGAAGAATATTATTGGTAATTTGGTAGGAAGAGCATTGAGTCTGTAAATTGCTTTGGGCAGTATGGCCATTTTAATGATATTGATTCTTCTTGTCCATGAGCATGGGATGTCTTTCCATTTGTTTTTCTGATATCTTTGAGCAGTGCTTGTAATTTTTATCAAAGAGATCTTTCACTTTCCTGGTTAGCTTTATTCCTAGGTATTTTACTCTTTTTGAGGCAATTGTGAATGAGGTTGACTTCCTGATTTGGCTCTTGGCTTGGCTGTTATTGGTGTATAAGAATGCAAGTTATTTTTGTACACTGATTTTGTATCATAAAACATTGCTGAAGTTATTTGTCAGGTGAAGGAGCTTTGAGGAAGAGACTATGAGGTTTTCTACATATAGAATCATGTTGTCTGAAAACAGGGATAGTTTGACTTCCTCTCTTTTTATTTTGATGCCCTTTACTTCTTTTGTTAGCCTGATTGCTCTGACTACAACTTTCATACCATCTTAAATAGGAGTGGTGAGAGACAGCATCCTTGTCTTGTGCCAGTTTTCAGAGGAATGCTTTCTGGTTTTCTCCATTCAGTATGCTGTTGGCTGTGGGTTTATCATAGATGGCTCTTATTATTTTGAGGTGTGTTTCTTTAATAACTAGTTTATTGAGAGTTTTTTTTTAGATGAAGTCTTGCTCTGTTGCCCAGACTGCTATGCAGCAGCATGATCTCAGCAAACTGCAACATCCATCTCCCAGGTTCAAGCAATTCTCATGCCTCAGCCACCTAAGAAGCTGGAATTACCGGCATGTGCCACTACACCTGGCTAAGTTTTGTATTTTTAGTAGAGACGGCATTTTGCCATGTCGGCCAGGCTGGTTTTAAACTCCTGGCCTCAAGTGATCACCCCACCTTGGCCTCCAAAAGTTCTGGGATTACAGGCATGAGCCACCACACCTGGCCTACTGAGCACTTTTAATATGAAAGGTGTTGAATTTAATGAAAAGCCTTTTCTGCATCTATTGAAATAATCATGTCATTTTTGTCTTTAGTTATACTTATGTGATGAATCACATATATTGATCTGAGTATGTTGAACCAACCTTTCATTCTGGGGATGAAGCCTGCTTGATTGTAGTAGATTAGCTTTTTAATGTGATGCAGGGTTCAGTTTGAAAGTATTTTGTTGATGATTTTTGCACTGATGTTCATCAAGGATATTGGCATGAAGTTTTCTTTTTTCTGTTGTGTCTCTGCCAGGTGTGGTATCAGGATGATGCTGGCCTCATAGGATGAGTTGGGAATGGATCTCTCCTTCTCAATTTTTTGGAGTAGCTTTAGTAAGAATGGTAACAGCTCTTCTTTGTACATCTGGTAAAATTCATCTCTGAATCCATCAGGTCCTGGGCTTTTTCCTTCTTTTTTTCTTTTTTTTTAGTAGACTTTTACTGATTTAATTTCAGAGCTCATTATTGGTCTGTTCAGGTTATTGATTTATTCCTGGTTCAGTCTTGGGAGGCTGTGTTTCCAGGAACTTATTCTACTATTTTGGTCTTCTAGTTTGTGTGTAAGAGGTATTTCTATTTGTTTTTGATTATTATTTTTTATTTCTCTGGCGTCGGTAGTAACATTCTCTTTGGTATTTCTAATTATGTTTATTTGGATATTCTCTCTTTTCTTCTTTTTTTGTCTGCTAGCAGTCTATCTTATTAAGTTTTTCAAAAAACGAACTTGAGATTTGTTGATCTTTTGAATTGTATTTGTGTGTTGATTTCCTTCAGTTCAGCTCTAATTTTGGTTATTTCTTGTCTTCTGCTAGCTTTGGAGTTCATTTGTTCTTGCTTCTCTAATTATTTCAGTTGTGATGTTAAGTTGTTAATTGGAGATTTTTCTAAGTTTTTGATGTGGGCATTTAGTGCCATAAAATTTCTTATTAACGTTCCCTTAGCTGTGAACAAGATTGTTGTTGTATCCCTTGTTCTCATTAGCTTCTAATAACTTCTACATGTTGTATCTTTATTCTCATTAGTTTCAAATAACTTCTTCATTTCTGCCTTAATTTTATTATTCACCAAAAGTCATTCAGGAGTATGATGTTTAATTTCCATGTAATTGCATGGTTTTGAATGATTTTCTTAGTCTTGACCTCTATTTTTACTGTGCTGTGGTCTGAGTGTGTTTGGCATGATTTAGGTTCTTTTGCATTTGCTGAGAAATGTATTATGTTCAATTATGTGGTCGATTTGAAAGTATGTGTCATGTTGCGATGAGAAGAACATATATTTTGTTAGTTTTGGGTTGAGAGTTCTGGAGAGGTCTATCAGATCCATTTGGTTCAATGTTGAGTTCAGGTCCAGAATATCTTTGTTAATTTTCAGTCTCAATGATCTATCTAATACTGTCTGTCAGTGGAGTGTTGAAGTCTCCCACCATTATTGTATGGAAGTCTATGTCTCTTTGTGGGTCTGTAAGAACTTTTTTAATCAATCTGGGTGCTTTCGTGCTGAGTACATATATATTTAGGATAGTTAGTTCTTCCTGTTGAATTTATTCCCTTACCATTATGCATCTCCCTTCCTTTGTCTTTTTTTTTTTTAATCTCTGTTGATTTGAAATCTGTTTTGTCTGAAATTAGGATGGCAGCCTCTGCTTTTTTTCTGTTTTCATTTGCTTGGTGGATTTTTCTCCGTCCCTTTAGTTTTAGCCTATAGGTGTCATTATGTGTGAAATGGGTCTCTGGAAGACAGCTTACCATTGGGTCTTGCATTTTATCCAGGCTGCCACTGTGTGCCTTTTAAGTGGTACATTTAGCCCATATACATTCAAGGTTAGTATTGATATGTGTGGATTTGATCCTGTCATTGTGTTGTTAGCTGGTTATTTTGCTGGCTTCTTTGTGTGGTTGCTTTATTGTGTCATTGGTCTGTGTATTTAACTGTGTTTCTTTACCATCTATTAGCA
This sequence comes from Homo sapiens, assembly GCF_000001405.40. Classification (NCBI taxonomy): domain Eukaryota; kingdom Metazoa; phylum Chordata; class Mammalia; order Primates; family Hominidae; genus Homo; species Homo sapiens. Next base: position 115,853,861 of record NC_000004.12, on the reverse strand, counting down.
GTCTGTCCTCTCCATATTTAGTGCACCTTTCAAAATCTCTTCTAAGTCAGGTCTGGTGGTAACAAACTCCCTCAACATTTGCTTATCTGAAAAGGATCTTATTTCTCCTTTGCTTAGGAAGCTTAGTTTGACTGGATATAAAATTTTTTGTTGAAGATTTTTTCTTTTAAGAATGTTGAATGCAGAACCCTGATCTCTTCTCGCTTCTAGCTTGTGAGGTTTCAGCAGAGAGATCTGCTGTTAACCTGATGCGGCTCCCCTTGTAGGTGACCTGACCTTTCTCTCTAGCTACCTTTAACATTCTTTCTTTCATTTAACCTTGGAACATCTGACAAATATGTGTCTTGTGGATGAACTTCTTATGTAGAATCTTGCAAAAGTTCTCTACATTTTCCAAAGTTGACTGTTGGCATCTCTAGAAAGGTTGGGAAATCTTTCATGGACGACATCCTAAAATATGTTTTCCAAGTTGTGTGCTTTCTACCCTCCCCGACCCTTTCAGGGATGCCAGTTATTTGTTTATTTGGCCTCTTTTCATAGTCCCATACTTTTAATAAATTTCGTTCATTTATTTTCATTCTTTTTTCTTTGTTTTTGTCTGACTGTCATATTTCAGAGAGCCAGTCTTCAAGTTCTGGTATTCTTTCCTCAGCTTGGTTTATTTTGCTGTTAATACTTGTTTTTGAATTGTGAAATTCTTGTGTTATTCAACTCTGTCAGATATGCTAGGTTCTTTTTTATACCAGCTGTTTCATCCTTTAACTCCTGTATTATTGCATTGTGATTCTTAGTTTCCTTGGATTACGTTTTGCCATTATCTTGAATCTTGATCATCTTTGCTCCAATTCATAGTTTGAATTCTATTTCTGTCACTTCAGACAGCTCAGCTTGGCTCAGAACTCTTGTTGGAGAACTGGCATGGTCATTTGGAGGACATATGACACTATGGCCATTTGAGTTACCAAAGTTTTGTGTTGGTTCTTTCTCATCTCTTCATGTGAGTGTTCCTTTAACTGCAGTTTAGACTGAGTACAGACAATATACTTCTTTTCTGAATGTTTTCACAGGGCCAAGGTTTTGTGCAGGGTCTTTATTTGAAGCTGAATTCTTGTCTTTGGTTTCAGAAGGGGGTATATTAATGAGATATTTTTGGTGTTGAGAAGCTTTGGGGTCTGATCCACTAGGTGGCGCTTAGGCACATTAGTCAGTTGGTAGACTCTTGCTTGGCTGTGGAGCTCTCTTATGTTTTCTAACAGTTGCAGCCAGGTTCTCGCTCAATGCTCTGAAAGTGTGAGCCGCCCTCCCCGTTGAGTTCTGGCTGTATATCGCAGCTTGGCACTCCTTGGCTGCCCATTGCAGCTCTGGGGCAATCTCAGTGTTTATGTTTCCTTCTCAACTTGGAGGCAGCAGAGGCAGGGACCTTAGTAGTGGTTGTGGGCAATGGTCTCTTGCTTGTTTCTTGGGGGCTCTACCTCAGAGAAATGCAAGTCAGCAATTTCTCAGTGCAGTCCAGAAGAGAAGGTCTGTGTGGGCCCAAGCCAGGAGTTCCATGTGTAGTGATGATCAGGATGGTGGGCAGGGGGAGGGGTAGGACCCATTAGAGACAGACTGGCCTTCTCTCCTTGGGTCCACTGCAGCTAGTTGGGGGTATGGATAAAGCACTTAGAGTCTTTGCTGCTTTGTTACTCCGAGGGTAGCAAATGCAGTCCCACTGCAATTGCAGTGGCAGAGAAGCTTTTAGTTGCCTCTAGGGGCTCTGTCCTGGGAGCTGCAGAGCTGCTACTGGCTCAATAGCTCTGACAAGGAATGACTGGAGGCCCAGGCCTGGAGGACCTGCCCAGTGAGAATATGTAGGAACAGGAACCCACATAACAGTCTGACCAATTTTCCACAGGGCTGCTGTGGTATGCTGGGGGCCTGCTCCAGTCCCTAATCACTTCAGATTTTCAAGTACCTAGAGATATCAACAGTGAAGACTTTGAAATAGTAAAAATGGCAGCCTGCCCCTCCTTTTGGGAGCTCCATCCCAGCAAGGTATGAACCTGTTGCCAGACTAAACACACCTGTCGAAGGTGGTTGAAGACCCCACCCAGTTAGGTCAGGTTAGGTGATCCCACCCAGTGAGGAGAAACAGGATCAGGGACCTGCTTTAAAAAGCACTGTAGCTGTGTTCTCATAGAGCAGTTGTGCTGTGCTGAGGGTTCACTTCAGCCCCTGGTCACCTTGGACACTCCAATGCCCAAAGGCCAGAATGGCTAAGTCCCCCAAACAGCAAAGATAGCAGCCTGCCCCTTTCTCTGGGACTTCCATCCCAGGGTGGTTTGAAACCTCTGTTGGCTAGAGACCACCGGTGAGGGTAGCTGGAGACTCTACTTGGGAGGTTTCACCCAGGAGGAGAAATAAGATTGGGAACATGCTTTAAAAAGCAGTCTGGTGACTTTTTCATACAGCAGCTGTGCTAGGATAGGGCCCACTCTAGCCCCAGGTCAGCTTAGACTCTCCAACGTTTGAAGGCTGAGACAGCTAAGTCAGCCAAACAGCAAATACAGTGGCTTACCCCCTCCCCCAGGGAACTCCATCTCAGGGAGGTGCAATGATGCTACTCGGGGCTGGCTGAATTTCAAACCAGTGGGTTTTATCTTGTGAGGTGCCATGGAATCAGGGCCTGCAGACTGTCGCTGCTCAGTCCCCTGGTTTTAGCCCTTTTCGTAGGGTTATGTATGGAGGTCTAACTTCCCACTTTGCCAGATTTTGCAGGTACTTTTGCTGGAAATCCCCAAAAAACTGAGTGTCTGAGGCTGCCCAGTCTCTGTGTATGTGTGTGTGCCTGAGCAGCTGCTCTGCTGAGACTGCAGGTAGCTGTGTGTGTCAGACTGAAAGCCCTGGTGGAATGGGTTCACAAGGGGATCTCCTGATCCTAGGGTTGCAAGGATCCATGGGAGAAGCATGGATTCCTGAAGTTGCACATTCACTCACTGCTTCTCTGGGTGGGGGAGGTTCCCCTGGTTCCATGCTGCTCCCAAGTGGGTCGTTATCCTGATTTTCTTCATTCTCCATGGGTTGAATTGCTTCCTTGATTAGTCCCAATGACTACTATATTGGGACTAATTTCCATTGAAGGTGCTATATTGACTCGCTGTTGAAGGTTCTATATTGACTCGCTCCTTTCGTTCCTCTCTATGAGAGCCACTAGCAGCTTCTCGTTGGTCATCTTGGGGACCTTCCATTGATTTTTATTAATATCTGCAATATATTGAGACTTGCATTCTAATACCAAGCCTAGACTTTAGTAGCACTTTAATAGTGCATGAACTTCAGGAAATTTCTATCTGTTCCCAAAGTTGAAAAATGGAATTTAACAACATTGCCCATTGTAGTGTAGAGACCTCACATGCATGCATGCACACACAAACATGCACACATACACACACACACACACATACATATTTAACCATTTTTTTTTCATTTTTTGGACAATGTTGTTAAACTGAGACATATTTACATTTTGGGGAGTTTATTTCAGTATTCAGTGATTCATAAATTGGGCAACATCAGACTGCAAGTGGTTTAGCACTTTGCTGGGGAAGAAGGTGGCAAGAGACAGACTTTTATAAGGTTTTCATGGAAGCAAGATAAATAAAACATGTTTGCTTAGCGTAGAAAATATCTAGTTAGGGTTTAATTGGAAGCTTGTGAGTGATAAAGTCTCTAGTTTTATTTTACTCTTTAGGCCATCTCAGCCTTAATAACCGAATATACATGTATTTTTAACAATGGTAAAACATGCTTTTGAATTATAAATTTTTAAAATTGGCTTAAAATGTATGTACTCATGTCCAATCATGATGGAGTTACATGTATTGGACTAAGTCTTCCAAAGAAAACAACTATAAAATTTGCATAACATGCATTAATACAAAACCATTATTTAAAGGCATTAAGAAAAAAGTACCATAGGTAGGACTTGAATGGAACCATAGCAGCAAATAACAGAAGATGAAAAATTTTAGTAGAGACCTAAAATCCTATGAAAGAGGTTAAGTAGGAGTTCTAAAAAAAAATCAATGTAATATAACTAAGATTAAGAATTTAAAAACTGGGTGTAGTAGTGAATTAGATACATCAGAATAGAGATTTATAAAACTGGAAGACAATTCAATACAGAAATATTTACACTTAAGTACAGAGAAAAGGAGAAAAAAGATAAAAATATAAGAACCAGCATAGGGAACATTAGACAACTGTGATACATTTATTTAGAGTTATAGTAAGAGAGGAGACAGATTGGGACAAAAACATAATTCAAAAATAATGATGGAGAATTTTATGATGAATTAAAATCTTCCAACCACATATTTAAGAAGTTTTATCAACACCAAGCGGAATGGAAACAAACTGAAGACACAACTGCTAAAAATTGGAGACAAAAATAAAAGTTTATAAACAGTCATTGAGTAACTGGGGTAAGGAATGGTGGTAAGACTTGAGAAGGAGCAACTTATGAGTTAACAGGAATTATAAAAAATAGAAAACAATAAAATGGCACAATTAAGTTTTCAAAAGGAAAACCAATCCAGATTTCAAAACTCATCATAAATATCATTCAAATGTAAAGATATATACCTATAAAGAAAAATATCTGATAGAATTTGTCACCAGCAATTTTTCAGACAAGAGTAAATTTGATGTAAATTAATAAGCCAAGCAAACATCGTATATTCTATAGGTTAGCCAATAAAAGTGTAGGATAATAATATGTAACTTAAAAATACTGTATATCTCTTAATTCTCTCTCTTAGATATCTTTTGTAATTTCAGAATCTACCTATTATACCTTGATTTATTTTCCTGTTTTTTTATATTACATTTTCCTGTGTTCTGTTTTCTGGCTATTTACCTGCTCTGTTTTAGTCACAAGTTTATTTCTAAGATTTGTCTACTTTGTTCTGCAGTTCATCCAATTAAATAAAATTTTCTTGTTTAAGTATGCAATTTAAGGAGTTTTGCAAAGTTATACACCTATGTTATTGGTGACACAAACAACATATAGAATATTTCCATCAATCTAAAAATTTTTGTTTTATTACTGATTAGTTCATTTCTCTCATTCTGCTTCTAAGTACACTCAACTAACAATCTTTTTGTCACTATAGACTATATATTTTATTTTTAGAGTTTTGAATAAATAGAATCATACACTAAATAATTGTATAAGGTTTATTTCTCTTAGCATGATGCCTCTGGGGTTCTTCTATGTTGTGAACATTAGTATTTATTTCCTTTTTAAGATGAAATTTATTTAGTATATGATTACAACACAAATTATTTGTCCAAATATTCTGTCAATAGGTATTTAGATTGTTTTCAATTTGGGGCTGTCATTAATAAAACTGCTGTGCACGTGTCAAAGCTTTTGTGGAGACATGTTTTCTTTCAACTATTTAGTAATACAATTGCTAAGTCATATGGTAAATAAGTGTTCTATTTTCTGAAGTACTGCCAAAGTTGAGAGTGAAAGTGGACAGTCATTAGTATGCAGTATCACTTTTTTGCTGCCAATGTTGTCTGTTCCTGCACTGACATCTACCACTTTTGGAAAAATGGCAAACATGAAGCATGGTATACAGCATGTCTATAAACATACTGGGATGTGGTATTATGCTTCAAGCCAATTCTAATTCATTCTTATCTTTTAATTATTTCTTAGAATTCATAGTGAAATAAAATATTTATTTTAGCTGTTATATTTTTTTGAATTTGTATTTTATAATTAATGTCATTTCAAAGATGTAGTACAGGAATCTATAACACCTATTAAGTCTCTATCATATATAACCTAGTTAATTTTACTGACACACACAAAAAAATCTATGGAATAACTAACCATATAATTTAATGCAAAACACTGTAATGGTTAAACTGTTTTAAAACATTATACTAATACATTAAGTAAAGTTGTAAATATTTATATGGAGACTAGCATATTCTCTTTATTGGCATATTTAAATTATTTTACAATAAAGGGGCATTATAAAAATGTAGAAGATTGTATATCTTCATATTAAAGAAATGTTTATAACTTATATGTATTAGGTAGACACTAAATTATATCGCAGACAGAAAAGTTATTTTTGGTCTGTTTTAATGAACCATATTAAAGTTTCCCATATCATTTTATAAATCCATATTACTGCTATTTTTCTGCAGAATTTGTCTAATATAATCACATATTTTTATACTTTTAGTGAAAATATCTGATTTTAACATTATATTTTATGGATAAAATATACAAAATGTTTGGCATATTCAATTATGTCTTCTCTGTGAACCACATTTCCCTTTATAAAAATACTATCACTGAACATTATAAGGTTCTTAGTAAGCTCAGTGTGAATTATAAGAAATAGAAGATATTCTTAAATCTAATTTTATTGAAAAGTATAAACAATAATACTTTATTAAAAATGATAAAATAATGTGATGTATACTAAGTAGGATGAAATACTGAAGCAACATGGCAGTCTAAAGTTGCTTATGTTTTATGCTATTTAGTTCATCTTTACATCACTAAGAATCTAATCATCTTACTCTCATACAAGAGCTTCATAAAGTGTTCTTCACAATTTCAACAATCCAAGTTTTCTTCCTCTTTATTTACCATATAGCTATAACATATTTCTTATATCTTGTGACTTAGTATCACACCAAACTACATGTTCAAACTACAAAGCTGCTGAAAAATTTAGAAACATCAACATTCAAATGCCAACTTATGTTTCCTGGATCCCATAATATGTTATCTATATAATGCCAAACATTCATTGTGTGTTCCCTTATTTTTGTGAATGGGCTTGCATTTTTAGGTTGACAAATTTATCTTTCATATTACTCAATGTATTGGTAAAAATGTTCATATCTGATGGAGTCAGTATTTTGTAGCAATTCCAATTTCACCCAAAGTTCATTTTTTACTCTTTGATAAGATTGGAAAACACCCAAGCATAACTTAAGGGAATATTCATGCACATATGCATAAGGACTCCATGACAGAGCTTTCTACCCATTTAAATTAGCATAAGGAATCATTTTACACACAATAAATCAATAAAATAACATCATCACACAGAATAAATAGCATTTAATGATTTCACAAAACCTGTTCCACCATAAATTTTACTATGAGTTTTTGGCAGAATATTATATCCTTTGCAGTATTAAGCTATTTAGATTTACTTCAGAACTTGTTTTCTTTGCTGAGGTTATGAAAAAATATGACTGATCATCTTGTTTTACATTATTATTTTACAGATCAATTTTTTGTTAATTTTGATAACACCTTGCATCAAATACTTTGGAACTAAATAAGGTTCATGTAAATCTCCAGTGTAAACTTTTTGTGAAATTAATCTTTATACCATTTTGATTATTTACAATCATAAACACTGATTATAGAAATATTTTTAAAAATCTTCATTGAGTGTATTATATTCATAGGGACTGAGTTGTTTTCTGTGAATATTACTTACTAAATTTTATCACTTGCCATGTTTTTTTATAATCACTTCTGTTCCTCTTCCAGAAAACATACATGTGTACAAATACATACATCCACATACAATAAAATGACGACTAATCACTGGATGGCTTAACCACCCTGTGATTGTCATGTCTACTTGTGTGTACCCTTACCATGGAAGCAAGGGTGACAGTGATTGTAGGGCCTATAATTACATTTGGAAGGACTAAAATAAAGATCATTTCTGAAATTGCAAACTGTACCTAAGAACCTAGAGAAGAGGTAATACTAAAAGTGTCAAGCTTAACATAACTGGCCTAGGATGGTGATTTTTTGATGAAAACTCTTATTTTTGGAATACATTATGTTGATAGCATAAGCATATTAACCAAATGAATGGTGTAGGTATCAATCTTAGGAGATTCTTAAATTTCTATACCATCATATAGTTTCACTATGTTCCTTTCCAATTACTCTTGTTCTTATTTAAAATTTTGAGAGCAAACTGTTATGCATTAATTTCCTGACTTTAAGAAATAGAATAACATAACTGAACCTATATTTCTCAATTTATTGACTTATCTAGCTAACATTTATTAACCATAGGCTATGTATGAGGCACTGTTTTAGTCAATGAATATTCAGCAAAGTTTTAGCCTTCATAAAAATCAATATTCTCATGAAACAGACAATAAAATTTAGCAGACAAATATGTAATATGATACCAGATTATATGTTTAAAGAATAAAATTAAAGCAATAAAAATAGGAACTAGATACACTATTTCACGTAGTCATAGAATACTGCTTTGATAAGATAATATTTGATCAAAGATATGAATAATTAAGAAAACTATGAGAAAATATTTTTCTGAGAAGAAAGGTATAAAGATGTTTAGATAGCTATGAGCCTGGCATGCTTGTAGGATAAAGGCCACTGTGGCTAGAGTGGGGTAATGAAGTCAGAGAGATAGGCAAGGGCCTTATTATGTAGAACCTGTATATATAGTAAGGAATTTGTGTTATGATATAATTACATTTAAAAATTACTGGCTGGGCATGGTGGCACGCAGCTGTAATCCCAGTTACTCAGGAGGCTGAGGCAGGAGAATCGCTTGAACCTGGGAGGCTGATGTTGCAGTGAGCCAAGATCATGCCACTGCTCTCCAGCTTGAGCAACAGAGAGGGACTCCATCTCAAAAATAAAAATAAAAAATTAAATAAAAATAAAAATTCTGCCTTGCCACTTTTGGGAAAATGAACTACAGAGAGTGGGGTGTAAGCAAGGTCAGTCAGTGGGCTGAGGAGTCTTGCTTTAGGGTAAAATCTTATGTGTGGTTTATCAGGCTTGACCATAGGTAATGGCAAGGCTTTGTCTGTCTGGCCTCATTGGTGGAAGCTGTCGTCCCCACACCAAACTTGGTGTTTGGGTATGCATTATATGTTTATTGGAAACATTTGCAGTAAAGGGCTCAGGTACTCTTTCTCTGTCTTGGCAAACCATGCTCAGACACATATTTGCCTTGTTAACTCAGGCACCATGTTTCAGAGGCCCTCATATCTAAGGCCTTTGCTAAAGCACTTCTCAGGTGCCTCTGCCAAAAACCCTTTATCAGAGTCTTGTACTTTTCTTCCTCTTTACTTGGTATTTTTCTACTCCTAGCTCTTTCCTAACTTTCTCCCTCTGCCCCACAGGTCCACTAAAAGGCCTTCTGTTCAGGACTTTTTCACAGTAAAGCAATTTTCCCTGTTTGTGCTGAATCCACCAGATCTTCACACAGTGCAATTCCATTGGGAAAAAAAAATGTAACAATGGGAGTTGGTGCCTCCCTCATTTGCTCCTTGCTTGCACTGTCACAATAAGCAAATAAAGACTGGATTGTTACTTTCACTTTGGCATGTTACCTTAATTGACCGACTCAATACCTCATTTCCTGAACAGCCAGATAAGGGAAAAAAATATAAGGGCACTGCTGTGGCAAGGAAGCTATGCAAATAGAGTATTTCAGGAAGGAGACATTGATGCTCCTTGGAGGTCAGGTAATCTAATGTAAAAGTATTGGACTTTGGACTGGTCAAGATGGAAGCTGTTCCTAAACTTGATACACAAGCGTCAGTGGAGTGGTAGAAAAAAAAAAAGTCCTGGATTTAGTTAATAAGAAACAGGAAGGTAAATAACTGAGAAATGTTACGTACAAATTTTTGGAGAAGTTTTGTTATAAACAGACTACTGAGGAACCCCCTTAAGGTGTAGGTATAGTTTCCAGGAAATTTATTTATATGGTATGGGATAAGGGTTACTAGGCAAAAGAAACAAAAATTTGATGAAGTAGGAATATAAATAAAGCATTATCAGAGCTATTTCCCTCAATTTCAAGAGTACATGGGATTCATGGCACATCGAGGAAGTTCAGCAGTTCTAGCAAGAGAGCGGGTAAAATATACATGTATCGCTTTAGTCAGATTAGTGGATCTGCTGCTGAGAACATGAAGTAGTTCACTAGTTTGCTTAAATTTTCTCATTGAAATACAAACCAATGTCCTGAGTCAAATGTAATAATAGAGTTGAGAAAGTAAAGAAGACATAAAAGATCATTCTCAGAGATTAGAAGAGATGACTGATTAGAGAAAGTAGAAGCATCGCAAGGTATTTCAAACATTTTGCCTGAGATTTGTGGTCATTTATTTAGAGTAACAATAATCAGTACGGTTAAGAGTCTTTTTCTCATCTACTTGTTTTTGCTCAATTTTGGGCATGCAGAATGTGAAACTTAAAAAAGATTCAAATATGATATTGATATAATTATTCAAATAAGATATAATTCAAGAATTTAGATTTAATATATAGGAGGATGGATTCTGCAACCAGGTTATTGGATGACCGAGTACTCACTTCTTAAAGCCTTATTCTTCAATTTGCTATATTAATAAATTAGCTCTGATCTAAAACTAAAGATTTGGTGGCAGAAAACCTATCTTCCCCATGGGATATAAAAATAGACCTAAGGTATAATATTGGTACCCAATTTACTTCAGAAGATTGATTCCAATATTGCCCTTGATATTTCAGAAAATTGTGGTTAATTGGGTAACTCTAATTATTGAAATATATAAATAATTGTGGCCTTTAAATTATTAATTTTGAATACTTTAACAACTTAGTTTCACATTTCTCATCAACATGTAACCAGTATTAAATATTTTCTACAATGTACTTATTGTAAAGTATTCTTACTGTAACAATTTTAGCATTGTTACATGCTGTTATATAAGATGTCATCTTGTTTTAAAACATTTTTAATGAAAATATTGTTATTTAGTGTTCTAATAGAATTTACTTTTATTAAAAATCTTAATGATCTCTGAGTTCAAATTTGTTTTATAAGAAACCTTATATAGTTTGTGAAAGTTGTCAGAATTAAAATGGAATCACTAATGTTAAGAAAACCCTGACAAAGAGAGCCAGGGACGCCCATGAAAGAGGGTTCTCATGCTTGTATGACTGATAACAAAAACTATCATAAAGGACTGCAAAAAACACAACCTTGCACAAAAGCCATTGCAACCTTTCACAAAAAGCATTTTTGCAAAGACATCTGCCCTCCAATTCCATGTAGAATCTGGAACTGGCATCCTTCTTGCTACTGATCTTTGTACCCAATAATAATTATTTCAAAACAGTTGTATAATCCTCCTAATTTTTCTTCTTTAAAAACCTCTGTCTTCCTTTCACCTCCTAAATATGTACATAGGTTATTATGGAATGTGTATTTACATTGCAATGATTTATTTTCGAATATACATTTTTTCTTTTAGGTAGCCTCTGTCTGTGTGTTACTTAGCTTGACAAGTTCTAGAGACTAAAATTTGGAAACATAATCCATGTGTTCTTTAATTACAGTTTTATTGTATTTATAGAACATTTTCATGGGCAAAATTGTAGTTAATTGTATAGTTTATACTGGGAAGAAAAACCCACTCATTTTACTATATTTTCATCATTTTTGTTTAAAGAAAAATATTTATTCTGATGAATTGCATTGTGGTAGAAATCATGTTAACACCAACATAATCAGTTTATGTATTCTGCTTCCACAATGGAAGACTGACTCTTTATATTAGACTATGAGTAAATGAGAACTTAGTAATATTAATGATATTTCAGAGGTAATCAGTGTATGAGTATGCAAGGAGTCATGCCTCTTCCAAACTGCCAGTTTATGTAACTGCCTTGTGGCAAAACCAGTATTAATGGCTGAGAATTTTTAATGCCCTAGGGCTCTCTTCATTTGCTAAGACATTATAATCAGCTATGCCAGGCTATCTGGCTGCACCTCTGCCAACTCATGAATACATCATTCAAATGAGTGTCATAAACAGACAGAAGTGTAAGTTGTTTCTGCCTTCTAAGCCTTCTGTCAAGAAATAGAATCTGGCTTATTGTTGGGGAGCAAAAGACAAATAGAAATCTTACTAAAATGCAATAAATTAATGACAAACCTAACTGGAGAAATAATCATTAGGTCACTATTCAACTCCACATAGTCTTAACATAATATACAAAGAACATTGTAACTCCAAATCCAAAATAGCCTAAAGCCTAAATGATTTACAGGTAATCCATGTTCTTGTGAGGTCACTAAATTTCAAGAGAAAGTAAAATCTGTTGTTTTGCTATCAGAAAATGGTAGTCTAAGTAGGTTATCTATTTCCTAATTATTTTACCTTATATTCTTTCACTTGGTAACTGATGCTTCTTGCAGATAATACTGATTTTTTGCCGACAAAAATAAATGTATATATTCAATACTGTAGGCAAAAGATGTTTTACTTCAGCAAAATAATGACCAATTATAGCCTAAAAATACACATTTTCAGCAAATTAATAATCTCAGAACATAAAGCCATAACATAATTTTAAATGTGTTTTAAACTATTAAGCCAGGCTACAATTTACATTGTTAAATATACATTGAGTACAAATATTTCAGAATTGAATCTCCTCTTCTCTAGCAAGGTTTGTCTTTCACTCCACATTGGAGAAAAGACAAGCATATTTTCATAGGAAATTTCAGGCTGCACTCACAAATGTTTTGGAATAATATACAATGTTAATGTAATTCTTAGTGCTCTTTTATTAGTTTATGAGAAAATAGTCATTCATTTTTAAGAATTTTCCACCAATTAAAATATAGATTTTTAGATACCAAAGAAGAAAAGTACAAGACTTTTTATTTTAAAATAAAATAAAAACCACCACATGTTCTCACTCATAAGTGGGACTTTTTTGTTTTAAAGTGGCATGCCCATTTTATAAGTTTTAATTAGTAATATTCAATTGCGATCATATAAACAGTTGCCTTGAATGGCTGAGATTGTATAGTGATTATAAATAAGGCTCAAAATGACAGTCCCTATCATTTCTACAGCATTCATTCAGAGAATCCTGAATAGGAGGTTGAAATTACTGCTCAATTTGCAACTTCTCTACCTGCTGTCCACAGCTGGCAATCATTTATGACTATCTTCAGTGAGTAGCAAGTTCATGACAAAGTCAATAATTATAGAATCAAATGAAACATCAATTTCCATTCAAGATTTAATTTGGCAGCATAGCACTTTGAAAAATAAGAATTTCAAATATTATTACTACAATCCCTAAATTTACAATCTTACTAGCATTTCTGCCTAATTTAGTATGAATTATCATGTTTCCATTACTATAGTAATATAATCAATATAAGAATTTATTTTTGATAGTAACCCTCTCACTTAAAAAGAACCGTTGCATATTGGTCAGTTGCTTATGGTTATTTTCAAAAGATAGTATTTTCAATCTCATTGCCTTAACAAATAATACTGCAGAGTTCTGTTGTATTTTGCAAATTTCTATTTTTTATTGGAAATTAGCATTTTTGATATTTTCTACTTTTAGATAATTTTCTCAGTTATTTATTTATTTATTTATTTTACTTTAAGTTCTGGGATACATGTGCAGATCGTCCAGGTTTGTTACATAGGTATACATGTGCCACGATGATTCTTTGCATCCATCAACCCGTCATCTACATTAGGTGTTTCTGCTAATGCTATCCATCCCCTAGCCCCCCATCCCCTGACAGGCCCTGGTGTGTAATGTTCCCCTCCCTGTGCCCATATGTTCTCATTGTTCAACTCCCACTTATGAGTGAGAACATGCGGTGTTTGGTTTCCTGTTACTGTGTTAGTTTGCTCAGAATGATGGTTTCCAGTTTCATTCATGTCCCTGCAAAGGACATGAACTCAATCTTTTTTATGGCTGCATAGTATTCCATGGTGTATATGTGACACATTTTCTCTACCTAGTCTAACATTAATGGGCATTTGGGTTGGTTCCAAGTTTTTGCTATTGTGAACAGTGCTGCAATAAACATATGTGTGCATGTGTGTTTATGGCAGAATGATTTACAATCCTTTGGGTATATACCCAGTAATGAGATTGCTGAGGAAAATGGTATTTCTAGTTCTAGGTCCTTGAGGAATCACCACACTGTCTTCCACAATGGTTGAACTAATTACACTCCCACCAACAGTGTAAAAGTGTTCCTATTTCTCCACATCGTCTCAAGCATCTGTTGTTTCCTGTCTTTTTAATGATCACCTTTTTAACTGGTGAGATGGTATCCCATTGTGGTTTTGATTTGTATTTCTCTAATGACCAGTGATGGTGAGATTTTTTTCGTATGTTTACTGGCTGCATAAATGTCTTATTTTGAAAAGTGTCTGTTCATATTCTTTGCCCACTTTTTGATAGGACTGTTTGTTTTTTTCTTGAAAATTTAAGTTCCTTGTAGATTCTGGATATTAGCACTTTTTCAGATGCATAGATTGCAAAAAATTTCTCCCATTCTGTAGGTTGCCTGTTCACTCTGATGTTAGTTTCTTTTGTTGTGCAGAAGCTCTTTAGTTTAATTACATCCCAATTGTCAATTTTGGCTTGTGTTGCAATTGCTTTTGATGTTTTAGTCATGAAGTCTTTGCCTATGCCTATGTCCTGAGTGGTATTACCTAAGGTTTCTTCTAGGGTTTTTATGGTTTTGGGTCTTATGTTTAAATCTTTAATCCATCTTGAATTAATTTTTATATAAGGTGTAAGGAAGGGGTCCAGTTTCTGTTTTCTGCATATGGCTAGCCAGTTTTCCCAACACCATTTATTAAATAGGGAATCTTTTTCCATTGTTTGTTTTTGTCAGGTTTGTCAAAGATCAGATGGTTGTAGATGTTTGGTGTTATTTCTGAGGCCTCTGTTCTATTCCATTGGTCTATATATCTGTCTTGGTACCAGTACCATGTTGTTTTGGTTACTGTAGCTTTGTAGCGTAGTTTGAAGTCAGGTAGCGTGATGCCTCCAGCTTTGTTCCTTTTGCTTAGGACTATCTTGGTTACATGGGCTCTTTTTGGGTTCCATATGAAATTTAAAGTAGTTTTCTCTAATTCTGTGAAGAAAGTCAATGGCAGCTTGTTGGGGATAGCATTGAATATATAAATTACTTTTGGCAGTATGGCCATTTTCATGATATTGATTCTTCCAATCCATGAGCATGGAAGGTGTTGCCATTTATTTGTCTCCTCTCTTATTTCTTTTAGCAGTTGTTTGTCATTCTCCTTGAAGAGGTCCTTCACATCTCTTGTAAGTTGGATTCCTAGGTATTTTATTATCTTTTTAGCAATTGTGAATAGAAGTTCACTCATGATTTGGCTCTCTGTTTGGCTATTATTGGTGTATAGGAATGCTTGTGATTTTTGCACTTTGATTTTGTATCCTGAGACTTTGCTGAAGTTGTTTATCAGAATGTGAAATTTTTGGGCTGATACTGAGGAGTTTTCTAAATATACAATCATGTCATCTGCAGCCAAAGACAATTTGACTTCCTCTCTTCCTATTTGAATGCACTTTCTTTCTCTTGCCTGATTGCCCTGGCCAGAACTTCAAATACTGTGTTGAATAGGAGTGGCGGGAGACGGCATCCTTGTCTTGTACCAGTTTTCAAAGGGAATGCTTCCAGTTTTTGCCCATTCAGTATGATATTGGCTGTGGGTTTGTCGTAAATAGCTCTTATTATTTTGAGATATGTTCCATCAATAACTAGTTTATTGAGTGTTTTTAGCATGATGGGGTGTTGAATTTTATCAAAGGCCTTTTCAGCATCTATTGAGATACTCATGTATTTTTTGTCATTGGTTCTGTTAATGTGATGGATTACGTTTATTGATTTGTGTATGTTGAATCAGCCTTGCATCCTAGGGAAGAAGCCAACTTGATTGTGGTGGATAAGCTTTTTAATGTGCTGCTGGATTTGGTTTGCCAGTATTTTATTGATGATTTTTGCATCGATGTTCATCAGGGATATTGGCCTAAAATTTTTTGTTGTTGTTGTGTCTCTGCCAGATTTTGGTATCAGGATGATGCTGGCCTCATAAAATGAGTTAGGGAGGAGCTCCTCTTTTTCTATTGTTTGGAATAGTTTCAGAAGGAATGGTACCAGCTCCCCTTTATACCTCTGATAGAATTCAGCTGTGAATCCGTCTGGTCATGGGCTTTTTTAGTTGGTAGGCTATTAATTGCTGCCTCAATTTCAGAACTTGCTATTGGTCTATTCAGGGATTGGACTTCTTCCTGGTTTAGTCTTGGGAGGGTGTATGTGTCCAGGAATTTACCTATTTCTTCTAGATTTTCTACTTTATTTGCATAGAGGTGTTTATAGTATTTTCTGATGGTAGTTTCTATTTCTGTGGGATCAGTGGTGATCTTCCCATTACCATTTTTTATTGTGTTTATTTGATTCTTCTCTCTTTTCTTCTTTATTAGTCTGGCTAGTGGTCTGTCTATTTTGTTAATCTTTTCAAAGAACCAGCTCCTGGATTCATTGATTTTTTGGAGGGTTTTTCATGTCTCTATCTCCTTCAGTTCTGCTCTGATCTTAGTTATTTCTTGTCTTCTGCTAGCTTTGAATTTGTTTGCTTTTGCATCTCTAGTTTTTTTAATTGTGATGTTAAGGTGTGCATTTTAGATCTTTCCCACTTTCTCCTGTGGGCATTTAGTACTATAAATTTCCCTCTAAACACTGCCTTAGCTGTGTCATAGAGATTCTAGTACGTTGGTTCTTTGTTCTCATTGGTTTCAAAGAACTTATTTATTTCTGCCTTAATTTCATTATTTACCAAGTAGTCAATCAGGAGCAGGTTGTTCAATTTCCATGTAGTTGTGCGGTTTTGAGTGAGTTTCTTAATCCTGAGTTCTAATTTGATTGCACTGTGGTCTAAGAAACTGTTTGTTTTGATTTCTGTTCTTTTGCATTTGCTCAGGAATGTTTTACTTCCAACTATGCGGTCAATTTTGGAATAAGTGTGATGTGGTGCTGAGAAGAATGTATATTCTGTTGATTTGGGGTGGAGACTTGTAGATGTCTATTGGGTCTGCTTGGTCCAGAGCTGAGTTCAAGTCCTGAATATTCTTGTTAATCTTCTGTTTCGTTGATCTGTCTAATATTGACAGTGGGTTGTTAAAGTCTCTAGCTAGTATTGTGTGGGAGTCTAAGTCTCTTTGCTGGTCTCTAAGAACTTGCTTTATGAATCTTGGTGCTCATGTATTGGATGTGTATATATTTAGGATAGTTAGCTCTTCTCGTTGAATTGATCCCTTTACCATTATGTAATGCCCTTCTTTGTCTTTTTTGGTCTTTGTTGGTTTAAAGTCTGTTATATCATACACTAGGATGGCAACACCTGCTTTTTTTTTTTTTCCTTTCCATTTGCTTTGTGAACCTTCTTCATCCCTTTATTTTGAGCCTATGTGTGTCTTTGCACATGAGATGGTTGTGCTGAATACAGCAGGCCGATAGGTCTTGGCTCTATCCAATTTGCCAATCTGTGCCTTTTAGTTGGGGCATTTAGCTTATTTACATTTAAGATTAATATTGTTATATGTGAATTTGAACCTGTTATTTTGATGCTAGCCTGTTCTTTTGCCCATTGGTTAATGCAATTTTTTCATAGTGTCAATGGTATTTACATTTTGCTTTGTTTTTGCAGTGGCTGATACTGGTTTTTACTTTCCATATTTAGTGCTTCCTTCAGGAGCTCTTGTAAGGCAGTCCTAGTGGTGACAAAATCCCTTAGCATTTGCTTGTCTGTAAAGGATTTTATTTCTCCTTCACTTACGAAGCTTAGTTTTGCTGGATATGAAATTCTGGGTTGAAAATGCTTTTCTTTAAGAATGTTGAATATTGGCCCTCACTTTCTTCTGGCTTGTATGGTTTCTGCAGAGAGATCCGCTGTTAGTTGGATGGGCTTCCCTTTGGTGGTAACCTGACCTTTCTGTATGGCCGCCCTTAACATATTTTCCTTCATTTCAGCCTTGGTGAATCTGACAATTATGTGTCTTGTGGGTGCTCTTCTCGAGGAGTATCTTAGTGGTGTTCTCTGTATTTCCTGAATTTGAATGTTGGCCTGTCTTACCAATTTGGGGAAGTTCTCCTGGATAATAATTTGAAGTGTGTTTTCCAACATGGTTCCATTCTCCCCGTCACTGTCAGGTACAGCAATCAAATGTAGGTTTGGTCTTTTTACATAGTCCCATATTTCTTGGAGGGTTTGCTCATTCATTTTCATTTTTTCTTTAATCACGTCTTCATGCTTTATTTCATTAAGTGGATCGTCAATCTCTGATATCCTTTCTTCTGCTTGGTTGATTCAGCTATTGATACTTGTGTATGCTTCACAAAGTTCTTGTGGTGTGTTTTTCAGCTCCATCAGGTCATTTATGTTCTTCTCTAAGCTGATTATTCTAGTTAGCAATTCCTCCAACCTTTTATCAAGGTTCTTAGCTTTCTTGCATTGGATTAGAACATGCTCCTTTAGCTCAGAGGAGTTGGTTATTGCCAACCTTCAGAAGCCTACTTCTGTCAATTTGTACAACTCATTCTCCATCCAGTTTTGTTCCTTTGCTGGCGAGGAGTTGTGATCCTTTGGGGAAGAAGGGCCATTTTGGTTTCTGGAATTTTCAGCCTTTTTGCACTGGTTTTTCCTCATCTTCTTGGATTTATCTACCTTTGGTCTTTGCTGTTGGTGACCTTCAGATGGAGTTTTTGCATGGTCATTCTTTTTTTTGATGTTGATTTCTGTTTGTTAGTTTTCCTTCTAACAGTCAGGCCCCTCTTCAGAAGGTCTACTGGAATTTGCTGAGGGTCCACTCCAGACCCTGTTTGCCTGGATATCACCAGCAGAGGCTACAGAACAGCAAAGATTGCTGCCTGCTCCTTCCTCTGAAAGCTTTGTCCCACCAGATGCCAGCTAGAGCTCTCCTGTATGAGGTGTCTGTTGATCGCTGCTGGGAGGTATCTCACCATCTGGAGGCATGGGGATCAGGGACCCACAAAAGGAGGCAGTCTGTGCCTTAGGAGAGCTTCAGCACTGTGCTAGGTAATCCACTGCTCTCTTCAAAGCCAGCAGGCAGGAACGTTTAAGTCTACTGAATCTGTGCCCACAGCCACCCCTTCCCCCAGTTTCTCTGTCCCAGGGAGATGGGAGTTTTATCTATAAGCCCCTGACAGGGGCTGCTGCCATTCTTTTAGAAATGCCCTGCCCACAGAGGAGGAATCTAGAGAGTCAGTCTGGCTACAATGGCTTCCTGGTGCTGCGGTGGGCCCCACCCAGTCTGAACTTCCCTGTGGCTTTGTTTACACTGTGAGTGGAAAACAACTTACTCAAGCCTCAGTAATAGCAGTCTCCCCTCCCCCCTACCAAGCTCGAGAGTCCCAGGCTGACTTCAGACTGCTGCGCTGGCAGTGAGAATTTGAAGCCAGTGGACCTTAGCTTGCTGGGCTCCATAGGGGTGGGATCCACTGAGCAAGACCACTTGGCTCCCTGGCTTCAGCCCCCTTTCCAGAGGAGTGAACAGTTCTGTCTTGCTGGTGTTCCAGGCACCACTGGGGTAGGAAAAAAGTTCCTGCAGCTAGCTCGGTGTCTTCCCAAACAGCCAACCAGTTTTGTGCTTGAAACCCAGGGCCCTTGTGGTGTAGGCACCCAAGGGAATCTCCTGATCTGCGGGTTGTGAAGACCATAGGGAAAGCATAGTATCTGGGCCAGATAGCACTGTCCCTCACAGCAAGGTCCCTCAAGGCTTCCCTTGGCTAGGTGAGGGAATTCCCCAACCCCTTGTGCTTCTTGGGTGAGGCAATGGCCCAACCTATATCTGCTTACCCTCCATGGGCTGCACTCACTGTCTAACCAGTCCCAATGAGATAAGCCAGGTATCTCAGTTGGAAATGCAGAAATCAGCAACCTTCTGCATTGATCTCTCTGGGAGCTGCAGACTGGAGCTGTTACTATTCGGTCATCTTGCCTGGGAATGTCCTCTCTGTTCTGAATTAATACAAAACAAAAATTTTGCACAGGAAATCTTCACATATTAGACACGAAGAACTTGTCTCACTCTAGAATTCTGTAAAA
The DNA here is from genome assembly GCF_000001405.40 of Homo sapiens. NCBI lineage: Eukaryota > Metazoa > Chordata > Mammalia > Primates > Hominidae > Homo > Homo sapiens. The sequence goes on along the minus strand of NC_000004.12, from coordinate 115,833,857 downwards.
CAAATGAACTGGTGTTCACATGGCTTAATTTCAATGATTCTTATGCTCTCTTTTGTATGTACTAAAATTGTTGGTAACTCTCCAAGAATACAGATTTCCAAAGAAAATCCAATACTGAAGGCCACTTTGAATGTATACAAACTACATTGGTGACAATAGTCTCTCCCAATCTATAGAGGCTTTTCATAATAATGCAGGCTTTTTATACTAATCTATACATCTCACTCTTAATTCCTGATCAAATATCATGAAATTTCTAACTAGATCACAAGAGTAATGACTTACAGAATGTTGTTTATTATACAAAATATAGGCTTCACAATATTTTAAAAGAGCTTCTTGCTCACTAGTAGCTGTAAAGATCACAAAAATGGATACATATTTTCAAAGAAAAATAGTGTCATATTTTTCCGTTCGCAATCAATAGGTACCTATTTCTTTGGGGCAAAAGAAAAATTCAAATAAAAATAATAGAGCCTCAAATATTAATAGAAAATAACACACTAGGTGATATTTTAATACCTTTTTAAAAAAAGGAATGGTGAAATACAAAAAAGGCTAAATTATGTGGCAAGCTATAATAACTGGTATTTTGATATTTTATTCATAGCTTCTTTTCAATCTGCAAATCCCTTTTACATTACAAAAACACATTATGGTTTAAGTGAATTGATTTTTTAAATTAGTAATATGTAAAATATCCTCACAAATTTTTTCCTTTTTTAAGTTAGATAAGTTTAGGTTAGTAATGTAATATTTTATATAGAATTTGATGGTTTCACACAAAATACTTTTTAATACAATTCTTAATCTAAGTATAACCAAATTACCTTTCTAATACGATGATTAAATATTTCTTGAAATTGCATTGCATTTCAGGTAACATATGTGGAGAATCTATATTTATTTATTATGCGAATTTATTAGTTTTATATATTTTAACAATATTTTCAGCATATTTTCTAGAAAACTTTTGAAGAACTCATTTACTCATTTAATTAATGTGTATATGTTGAACTTAGTTATTACTTTAACTAAGAATGGCTTTCTTTTAAGAAAGTGTTGTGTCAGGATTATAAGAGTATCAATATGAGTAAATAAAATGAAAAAATATCAATATGTTAATAGATGTGTTCATAATGTAACCTATGAAAATATTTAATGTAATATCTACAAGCAAAACTATATTTTACAAGTTGAACTATTTACAGAACAACATTTTTATATGTAATTAATTAATGTGTTTTTCTCAGAAAATTAAACATTTTCTGAGAAAATTTGATAAAAGCTTTAAAACAAGAAAAACACACTTATTTAGTGGTCATAATTTTTTTCACAGTTCTACTTTGCTGAAATTTAACTCTGTATCTAAATTACTTTTCTACATCTATAAATTTTCCAAATGTGCTAGCTATTACAATTTTAAAATAGTGGCTGGCCTGGCAATGTTTCAATAATTTCACCCACAAAACAATTATAAAATAAATTTAGTTAACTAGTGAAAAATTGCGCCCATCTCTAAATAAAATGAACAATTTAGAATGTATTAAAATTTTTCTAGAAAAAATGTAAAATTTAAATATTTTTTTATTTTATGAAACAATATATTTAATATTTTTTATTGTAAATATACTATTAACAGATATTATATTTATAAAGAGAATGATCCATGCACTGAGAAAAATAATGTATATTCTGCAGCTCTTGGATGGAATGTTCTGTATATGTCTATTAAATCTTTTGGTCTACAATGCAGATTAAGTCTAATGTTTCTTTGTTAATTTTCTGTTTGGAAGATCTGTCCAATGCTTAAAGTGAGGTGTCAAAGTATCCAGCTATGATTGTATTGGGGCTTATCTCTACCTTTTGTTCTAATAATATTTTCTTTATGTATCTGCATGCTCCAGTGTTGGGTGAATATGTAGTTAAAATTTTTATATTCTCTTACTGAAATGACCTCTTTATCTTTATATAGTGATTTTTTTGTCTCTTCTTATAGTTTTGGTCTTGACATCTATTTTTTCTAATATAAATACAACAACTCCTGCTATTTTCTGGTTTCCATTGACATGGAATAACTTTATTCATCCTTTGATTTTTAGTCTAGGTGTGTCTTTATAGGTGAAGTGTGTTTCTTCATCCATTCAGCTAATCTGTGTCTTTTCATTGGAGTGTTTAGTCCATTTACATTCAATGTTGTTATTGATAAGTAAGGACTTACTCCTGCCATTCAGTTATTTGTTTTCTGATTGCTTTGTCATCTTCCCTTGCTTTTTTCTTTCCTTTATGTCTTCCTTATAGTGAAGGTGATTGATTTTAGCTGGTGATTTAATTTAGTGTCTTGCTTTTTTGTGTGTGTGTGTCTCCATTGTATGTTTTTTGGTGTCTGGGCATTGAAGAGTTAGGTAGTCATTGTAGTCATCACTGTCTGGGCTTATTTATAACCATCCTTCTTGGGAAGGCTTTCCAGTTATTTGAAATGACTTTGGTATTGTGAGCTAAGCTGTTTATGCATTAGGGCACACCCCAAACCCAGTAACACTATGGTTCTTGCAGACTTCTAGAGGTACCACCATGATGATCTTGTACAAGAGCTGGTTTTCTTTTCCTGTGTTAGTTTGCTGAGGATGATGGCTTCCAGCTTAATCCATGTCCTTGCAAAGGACATGATCTCATTCCTTTTTATGGCTGAATAGCATTCCATGGTGTTTATGTCCCACATTTTCTTTATCCAGTCTATTATTGATGGACACTTAGCTTGGTTCCATGACTTTGCTATTGTAAATAGTGCTGCAATAAACATATGTGTGCATGTGTCTTTATAGTCAAATAATTTATATTCCTTTGGGTATATACCCAGTAATGGGATTACTGGGTTAAATGATATTTCTGGTTCTAGATCATTGAGGAATCACCACACTGTCTTCCACAATGGTTGAACTAATTTACATTCACACCAACAGTGTAAAAGCATTCCAGTTTCTCCACAGCCTCACCAGCATCTATTGTTTCTTGACATTTTAATAATCGCCATTCTGACTGGCATGAGATGGTATCTCATTGGGGTTTTGATATGCATTTCTCTAATGATCAGTGATGTTGAGCTTTTTTACATATGTTTATTGGCCACTAAATGTCTTCTTTTGAGAAGTATCTGTTTATATCCTTCTCCCTCTTTTGATGGGGTTGTTTTTTTTTTCCTTGTAAATTTGTTTAAGTTTGTTGTAAATTCTGGATATTAGACTTTTGTCAGATTTTCACTCATAAGTGGGAGTTGAACAATGAGAACACATGGACACAGAGAGGGAAACATCACACCCAGGGCCTGTTGTGAGCTGAGGGGTGAGGGGAAGGAACTTAGAGGACGGGTCAATAGGTACAGCAAACCACCATGGCATATGTATACCTATTTAACAAACCTGCACGTTCTGCACATGTATCTGGAACTTAAAGTAAAATAAAAAAAAATTAGGTCTTACAGGTAATGAAATAGCTAGGCAGAGAAGTAACATGTTACTTTATAACTGAAAAGACTAAGACACTGAAGCTTAGTATCTTAGTGACTCAGAAGACCTAGATTTGTAAAATCACATAAAATAAAAATGTTAATTTATTTGTTTATTTCCAGAATTATATTTTGATGACTCTAAACACGTTCCAAATATTCAGAGACTCATGAGAAAGGATTCTAACTTAGCAAATGCTTAAAAATAACATCTCTTTTTGGTGTTTTAACACTTAATTTTATATGCTGTTCTTTATAAGCTGCAGAACAGCATCTTTAAATGGTTCTTTTTTTACAAAACAAAATAGTCTTATGTTGCTTCAGTATCTTTAAATACCTACTGTTTCTTTTGAAACCAAAAATTTCCATCAAGGAAACAAATCAGCCTGATTGTAACATTTTATATATTACATTGCTTTTAAGCACTATGATTGGAAGGCTTTTCTTCAATTTGTTTAATAAACCTTGGTTAAATTCACATGTATTTAAAGTAAAATAGCTGAGTTACTCGATTCTATAAGTAGAAGAAAAAACATTTAATTTCAGAGTAATCACTGAAATGGAAAAATAAGTGAATTAGCAGAAGAATTTATTTAAAATATCAGAGATATTTAAAAATCTGGGTTCTTTTGTCTATCCAGTATGTAAATGCTTAATTATAATTGTTATATGTTGAATGGATATTAAGAATAACTCACCAGGCACCTAAACTGCCATCATAGTAAAATGAGACAATGTTGAAAAGTAAAAATATTGTCTGGAATGAAAATATATTCAAGTTAATCCATACTTAAATGTTTTCTATTTAATACTGCAGATTGGTCCTTTGTCCACATTTGTTCAAAACTATTATTGTAATATTACTGTATCCTTTTGTATTGTGCCTTTGTCATGAGTCAATTGAGAAAAGTAGTCCTACAAATGAAGTGAAAGTTGTTACATCACAGAACGAATGTGTAATTGTATTAAAATCAATTACCCACAGAAAAAAAAAGAATAAAATTCTGCCAATAAAAAAAAAAATGGGAGAATTAGCTGGATTACCATGCAGAGAGTCTTGTTCTCTTTCATTAGTTTATCCCAAACAGAGGCTTTCTGTTCTGAGCTACCTAAAGCTGGGGGTGAAGTGACACAGGCACTCTTTTGGCCACCACCTCTATGACTGCACTGGATTAAACCTGAAGCCAGTACAGCACTAGTTCTCACCCAAGACTTGCTACAACCATTCTCTGGCTACTGCCTACGTTCACTCAAGGTCCTGGAGCTCTGCTGTCAGCCAGTGACAAAGCCAGTCAGCCATGTGGTACTAGTATACTTTAATTAACAAGAATATCTGGGATGTACTGATTATTCTGTAGCAGGTTAGTGTTCATGGGTATTAAGTTTTTCTACTTTGAGGCTATTATAAATAAATATTATAAAAAAATACAAACTTTCTTCTACACATCTTTGGTGTACATAGGTGCTTGTTTCTGTACATATTTATAGAAGAGAGATAATTGAGTCACAAGAAATGTATATATTTAGCATTAGTATATACTTTTTTTGTAGTTTTCAAAAGTGGTTGTAACACTTAACATTAAAAGCAGTATAACAGAGTCCCAGTTACCCCGCATATTCATCAAAGTCAGTATTGTGATTAAAATTTTTAAAAACTCCTCTGATAGGTATATTAGTATTTAATAGAGACTTTAATTTGCATATTCCTAATGACTAATGATATTGAGAATCATTACATGTGCTTACAGGTATTCTGCATTTATTCTTTCATGAAGTGAGATTTAAAATGTTTGCTGTTTTTTCTTCAATTGTGTTATCTGACTATTGGCTATTTATTTGTAAGTATACATTATGTAATCTTGATATGAGTCCTGGCTTGCCTTTTCAGTCACGCCTTTTGGTGACCAAAAAATCTCAATTTTAATAAAGTCAAATTTATAAATGTTTACTTTTACAGTTAATCCTTTTTGTATCTTATCAATAAATATATACATTCTTGAATCATAATCGAGTTATAAATATATACTTTTTGGTTTTTTTATTCCCTAGGTATATAATTTTATATTTTAGTTTCACCTATGATCCAGCTCAAATTTAATTTTTTATATATGTGTAGGTCTGTATTTGTATTCTCTATTTGGTTTACTTAATCTCTTAGCTTATCATTTTGCCAAGTTCACGCTTCTTACATAGTAAAAATTTCAAGTAAATCTTGATATTAGGTGACAGAGTTAGCTGACACTGTCCTTCTCTTTAATATTTTTATAACTATTCTGGTTATTTTACATTTCTACGTGAAATTTAGAATTACATAGTCAGCTTTGAAAAATGCTGATATTTTAATTGGGGTTGCATTCAATTTGGGGAAGACATGAATCTAAATCGTTGAGTTTTCTGATTTATCAGCATGATTATATATCTACTCTTTTTGTCTTTTAAACTTTCTCTTGTCAATGTTCTGTAAGTTTTAATGTAAAGTTTTAAATTCTTTAAAAATTTAATTTTAATAAGTTGACATTTCTGATAATATTATAAATGGGTAGAAAAATATGGAAGTTTAAAACACACAAATTATGATACTGGTATGTATACAAGAATAGAAAAGTAGGTCAAAGGAAAAAAAACAAATGATATTAAAAGTAGACTTACTGGGATTTATATAACTGGTTATAGTTTTGAGGAATGTTAAACATTCATTTTATATATATATATATATATATACACACACATAATATTAATTTAAAAACAGTATTCCTAAGCAAAATATACAGAAGATTACTAGACCCCTATTTTTTTCTTATTGTCTTTCTTTTAGACAAGTGTGCAGTATAATGTATTGTTGACAATTTTCTGTTTGGAGATCCTGAGATCCCCCCTGATTGAATATATCTCTTCCTAGTCTATGCCTTATTGTCAACAATTTGATATTTAGGTCACAAATTTGTGTTTCTTTGTAAATATGGAAGTTTATGGAGACAAAACTTATGCAAAATATACAATGTGTGCTATATTGCATGACTCATCTTAAGCTTAAAGGTGGCGTTTGTAATTTCAAGTTTTACATCAAATGACTTTTGATATTACTGGATAGAACTCATATTCTATGGGGGATTTATACAAGATACAGCCCCCTAAGATATCCATACCCCAATCCTCAGAATTATTGAATATGTTATTTTACATAGCAAAAGAGTCTTTGCGGACACAGTTAAGCTTAAGTATATATAGATGGAAAGATTATTCTGGATATTCCAGGTGAGTCTAATGTATCACTTGAATCCTTAAAAGCAAAGAATCTTTTCTATCTACAGAACTAGAGAGATAGCAGCATGAGGACTCTGCCCACTATTGCTGGCTTTGAAAATGGAAGAAGGGGTCACAAAGTCAAATAATATAAGTGGCCACTAGAAAAGACAAGAAAATATGTTCTCTCTTAGAATCTCCATGAAGGAGTGCAGTCCTGCTGATGTATTGACTTTGGCCAAGTGAGACCCATGTTAGAATGTTGATTCCTAGAGTCTTACAGTTCTAGGAGTCAGACATGAACAACAATTTGTGTTGTTTTAAGCCACTTAGTTTATGGTAATTTTTTATAGCAATTGGAAGTATATATATATGCAAGCACACACACATGCATACACATACACAAATATGTACACATATACACAAACATATGAATACACACATGTGTATAAGTGTATGCGTGTATACATGGATATACACATATATGCTTATATTTAACATCCATATTTACATGTATCATGTGTTATACTTTCTCAAAGTCAGGTGATATCTCCTTTAAATTCTCTAAATCTTTTAAGAAAGGAATTCATTGCTGATTTAACACAAAATCAATTTTAATATTGTCCAAATATTTGATTAGTAATATTTGCCAAATTACCACCCTTTTGTGATGCATTATTAATGGAATACATGATATCTGTATGTTTTTCACAGCATACAATTTAAAATGTAAGCTAAAGTATGAACATTGTAAAATGTTTCGAAAAATGTTCAAAGTAATTTTGGATGCTGTGGTAATGGCAAATGGGAACAGATGGCAGATAGAGGATAATCAATCTCAGTTACTTAGACTGAAATAAACTTCTAAAATAAAGCAGAATAATTCATCAAGATAGAGAAATATTCATTAAAATCACTGTAATTCCCTCAATTTGATTTTCTGTTTAGAAGTAAAACTGCAGTTGTGCCTGTTGTTTGAACCTGCTCCCAAACAGGAGGATGCCCTAAGCATGTGTTATTGGATTTTAGACAGATATAAAGCTTGGTATTCTATTTCAGTCTATGTTGCTATGTTGCTATTAAAATATGCATATGACCTAAGAACCCAAATTTGTAAATTTACGCATCCACATGTATACAATATTATTCAATCATATTGAAATTGTTATAGATTTATGAAGCGACTTGAAACAGAAATATTTTTAAACATTGAAATTAACATAGATTTATATTCGTGTATATTTAGCCAAACTACACAGTATACTAATATATTGCTAATTAGCAAATTTATATCATGGTTCATGGAAATACGTATATGTGTATATATATTCATACACAATGAATACACTATTTTGGAGTGAAGATATATACAAATTTATGTACTCAATTGAGAGTATTTCACATAGAATTATGATATCTACACCCATATCCCTACCTTCTTTCCATCTATTAAGTATGTTTAGCATTTTCCGAGGGCCAAAACAAATGTCTTAGCTTTAGCTGAAATGGACTCCAATTCCTGTTTCATAACACTATATAAAAATACTAATATGTGGCTGACATTCTCTTGCGCCACAGTTTTTCCTAACATAGTCTTTGTTAGAGGTGGTTTTCTATAGACTTATTAGTCAGTGCATTTGCAAATATTTAAATGTTCTATTCAATACGTTTTTGCCAATACATTTCTCCCACTGTTGGTGGGAATGTAAAATAGTACAATCTCTATGGGAAACAGTATGGAGATGTCTCAAAGAAGTAAATATAGAACTACCATTTGACCCAGCAATCCCACTACTGAATATATACCCAAAATGAAAGAAATCATCATATCAAAAGATATCTGCACTAGAATGTTTATTGCAGCACTATTCACAATAGCAAAGATATGGAATCAACCTAAATTTCCATCAGTAGGGGACTGGATAAACAAAATGTTTTATGTATATATCACACAAACACACACACACACACACACACACACACACACACACACCATGGAATACTCTTCAGCCATAAAAAAAGAATGAAATCACATCTTTTGCAACAACATGAATAGAACTGGAGGACATTATCCTAGGTGACATACTCAGAAACCTAGAAAGTCAAATACTGCATGTTCTCACTTATAAACAGAAGCTAAACAATGGGTACACATGAACACACAAAATGGAATAATAGACACTAGAAATCTCATAAGGTGGGAGCATGGGAGGAAGATGAGAGGTGGAAAGTTACCTATTAGTTACAATATTCACTATTTGGGTGATGGGTACACTAAAAGCCCAGACTTCACCATTACGCAATATATGCATGTAAGAAGTCTGCATTTGTACTCACTAAATATATAAACATAAAAAATTTAAAAAATATATGTTTGCCTATTATCCTTAAGGAAGATTTACTTTTCTTCATTATATTTTTCAAATATAACAAAGACTCTTACCACAGTATTACTTGTTCTTTCTAGTCTATTGAGTCCAGAAACAACCATTTTTATAAAATCTCCACTGATTATTTTTTCTTTACTCCTGTTAGTGACCAGTGGGAAATGATACAATTGGCCCTCTTTATTCTCGAGTTCCTAATCAACAGATTAAACCAACTGCAGATTGAAAATATAGTTAGCCCTAGATAGTTGCTTCTATACTGAACATATACAAATATTTTCTTGTCACTATTCCCTAAAATATACAGTAAAACAACTATTTACATATAATTTATATGGTATTAGGTATTATAAATAATCTAGAGATGACTTAAAGTATATGGGAACATGTGCAAATACTACACCATTTTACATAAAAGCCTTGAACATCCACAAATTTTGGTGTCAAGGAGAGAGTTAGAACCAATCTCCATAGATATTGAGGATGACTTCATTTCTTAAGTGGATAAGGAAAACTTGCAGAAATCTTAAAAACACTTTACTCATAATTGGCATTTGTAAACTTACCATGGTCAAAGTTACATAGTTATGTACACATAAATAAAAATATATTGACAGGATTTTTGGCAAATAAATTATAATCCATAATTTTAAAATAAAACTTTCTAAATACTTTACACACATGTAAAATAAATAAAATAATGCATTGAGGACTTTATGAATTATCATAAAGCAAAAACAATGGTTAATATATAACCTAGATTAATACATTCAGCATTAATAACAATCCTAAAATCCCATCATGCCTACTTTTAATATCTAGCCATTTAAATGCAATATTTTTAGAGATAACTTGTATAAATAATAAGTGGTCATGAGTGGAAATATTTATTTTGTGTGTTCTTTACAATTTTAGTTTTAGAACATCTTATTTCAGCTATAGTAGAACATTCTGCCATCTAAATTAATTACTGATCAGCTTTAGAGTAAGTATAATGTTGCCTTGAAGAAATATCAGAAAATGTGCAAAAAGATCTATTGGGCTGAAAGTAATATGTTTACAGATACAAAATTTTTTAAAGTACAAAATTCTGAAAAATATAAGAATTTATAATTGAAAGAATGCTTCAACAAATTCAAGTATAGTAACATAGAGGAAAAAAACTGAAGTTTTGAAGGTAAATTAATTAATTAAACAATTAAGGAAAGCATTCAACAAGTCCATCTATCTCTCAAGTGGAATAACTCCTGGATACATGGGCCTGCAGGTCTTACGCACCTGTTCTAACTTTTTGACAATAAGTAACTATATTATAATCTTGAATTTTCATTATCAGTATGGTAAAACTTCTTAGGTTGACATATCTGCTTCATTATTTCAATGGATCTATTAATCTACATTACTAATACTCTTAATTGTTTCAAATGAGAGAGCACATATCATAAATTATTTTTAATAATTAGCAATGTATGACAAATTTATCCTGATGTGGAGAAAATTCCAACAAAATTGAATAAATCTATAAAATACACTATTAATGAAAATTTAACCTATTACAGATGATACCCAGTGTACAATGGTTTGACTTAATGATTTTTCAACATTATAGTGGTACAAATGCAATGTGCACTCAGTAGAAACTGTACTTTGAGTACCTATACAACTATTTGGTTTTTCACTTTCAGAACAGTATTTATTAAATTACATGAAACATTTAACATTTTATTATGAAATTTATTTGTGTTAGATGATTTTGCCCAACTGTAGGCTTAGGTAAATTTTCTGAGCACATTCAAGGTAGGCTAGGGTAACCTATAATGTTTGATAGGCTATTTGTATTAAATGCAATTTTGACTTACAATATTTTCAAATTCTAATAGGTTTATTGGAATATAACCCTCTTCATGCATTCAGCTGCATCTTAACAAGATAGGGTTATATCCCAATAAACGCTTTTTAATATGATAAAAGTACAAGGAGGTTTTAGTACACCAAGCAAAATTAACCCAAATAAGACTACCTCAAGACATTTAATAATCAAATTCCAGAAGGTCAAGGATGAAAAGAAGCAAGAGAAAAGAAACAGATAACACAAATAAACTCCAATATATCTGGCAGGAGACTTCTCAGTAGAAACTTTATAGGCCAAGAGAAAGTGGCATTACAAAAAGTGCAAAAGGAAAAAAAAATCTTTTATCCTAGAATAATATATCCAGTGAAAATATACTTCATTTCTGAAGGAGAAATAAAGACCTTCACATACAAGCAATAGCTGAAGGATTTCATCAACACCAGACTTACCCTGCAATATATGCTAAAGGGAGATCTTCAATCTGAAAGAAAAGGACATTAGCAAGCAATAAGAGATTATTTGAAGGTATGAAACTCACTGGTAATAGTAAGTACACAAACAAATGCAGAATGTTATAACACTGTAATTGTGCTATGTAAACGACTCACATCTTGAGTAGAAAGACTAAAAGAGGAATCAATTAAAAATAATAATGGCAACAACTTTTTAAGACTTAGGCGACATAAATATAAACGAAAAGTTAAAAAGTAGGCAAAGGTCAAGTGTAGAGTTTTTATTAGTTTTCTCCTTGCTTGTTTGTTAGTTTGTCATTTGTTTATAAAAGTTGTGTTATATTTTCATGAGTATAATACAATGGGTTAGAAGACATTATTTGCAATCCTCATGGAAACCTCAAATCAAAATCACACAACAGATAGAGAAAAACAGCAAGAAATTTAAAAAAAAAAAACACCAGAGAAAAATCACCTTCACTATAAGGGAGACAGTAAGGAAGGAAAGAAAGAAGAAAAAAACTAAAAAATAAATCAGAAATAAGACAAATGGCAGCAGTGGGTTCTTACTTACTAATAATAACGTTAAATGTAGATGGACTAAACTTTCCTATCAAAGGCATGAACTTGTTAAATGAAGGGAAGAACAAGACCCAACAATCTGTTGCCTACAAGAAACACACTTAACCTGTAAATATACACATAGACTAAAAATAAGGGGATAGAAAAAGATATTCTGGGCAAATAAAAACAAAAAATGTAGAAGTAGCTCTACTTATATCAGAAAAATAGATTTCAAAATCAAAACTATAAAAAGAGGCTAAGGAGGTTATTATATAATGATAAAGAAGTCAGTTCAGCAAGAGGATACAATTGTAAATATATATGCACACATCACTGGAGCACCAACATATAAAGCAAATATTATTAGGCTTAGAGAGAGAATTAGACCCCCAATACAATAATACCTGGATATATTGACACCCCACTTTCAGCATTGGACAGAACTTCCAGACAGAAAATCAATAAAGAAACATCAGACTTGTTCTGCACTATAAACCAAATGGGCTTAATAGTTATTTCCAGAACATTTCATCCAACGGCAGCAGAATACACATTCTTTACCTCAGCACATGAATCATTATCAAGGATAGATCATATGTTAGGTAACAGTCTTAAATCACTGACAAAAATTATATTAAGTGTCTTATCTGACCACAATGGAATAAAACTAGAAGTCAATTACAAGAGAAATTTTGAAAACTATACACAGCATATGAATAGTAAACAATATGCTTTTGAATGACCACCAGGTCAATGAAGACATTAAGAAGAAAAATGAAACACTTCTTGAAGCAAATGATAAGGAAAACAAAACATATAAAAGCCTGTGGGATATAGTGAAAGCAGTACTAAGAGGAACCTTTATAGCTCTAAGCTTCTATATTGAAAAAGTAGAAAAACTTCAAATAAGTAACCTAAATATGCATCTTAAATAACTAGAAAAGCAAGAGCAAACCAAACCCCAAACTAGTAGAAGAAAAAAAATAACAAAGATCAGAGCAGAAATAAATGAAATTGAAATGATGACAAAAATCACAAAGAACAACCAAAGGAAAGCTGTTGTTTTGCAAAGATAAACAATAATGACAAACCTTTAGTCAGAATAACTAAAAGGACAGAGAGAGAGAGAAGACACAAATAAATAAAATTAGAGCTGAACAAGGATACCTGTTTTCATCACTATTATTCAACATAGTACTGAAAGTTCCAGTTAGAGCAATAAATAAGAGAAAGAAATAAAGCCATCCAAATTGGAAAAATAGAAGTAAATTATCCTTAACTGCAGATGATATGATCTTATATTTGGAAACAGCTAAAGGCCTCACCATAAAAACTATTAAAACAAATAAAAAAATGAGTAAAGTTGCAGGATACAAAAATCAACATAAAAAATAAGTAGCATTTCTATATGCCAACAGTGAACAATCTGAAAGAGACTTCTAGAAAGTAACACAATTTGAAATAGCAACAAATAAAACTAAATCCCCAGGAATTAATCTAGCCAAAAAAGTGAAAGATACATACAATGGAAACTATAAAATATTGGTGGGAAAAAAAATTAAATAAGACACCAAAAAATGTAAAGATACTCTATGGTCATGGATTGGATGAATCAATATTGTTGAAATGTCCACACTAACCAAGGCCATCTACAGATTCAGTGCAGTCCCTATCAAAATACCAAGGACATTCTTCACAAAATAGAAAAAAATATCTAAAATTTATATATAACCAAATTTATATATAACCAAAATTATTCTAACCAAAAAGAACGAAACAAGAGGAATTACATCACCTGACTTCAAATTATACTACAGAGTCATAGTAACCAAAACAGCATGGTACTAGCCTAAAAATGAACACATAGATCAATAGAACAGAATAGATAATCCAGAAACAAATTCACACATCTGGAGTGAACTCATTTTAAACAAAGGTGCAAGTACCTACATTGGGTAAAGGACAGTCTTTTCAATAAGATATCTAGTTTTCTGGGAAAACTAGCTATCCATATGCAGAAGAATTAAATAGATCCCTACCTCTTGCCATATACAAAAATCCAATCAAAAGAAAAACTTAATTCTGAGACATCAAGCTATAAAACTACTACAATAAAACGCTGGCTAAAATCTTTGGACTTTGGAGTGGGCAAAGATTTCATGAGTAATACCCCAGAAACACAAGCAACTAAAGCCAAAATGGACAAATGAGATCATATCGAGTTACCAAGCTCTGAACAGCAAAGGAAGTAATCAAAAAATGAAGAGACAATTTACAGAACAGAAAAACATATTTAAAAACTGCCCACCTGACAAGGGATTAATAATCAGAATATATAAGGAGCTCAAATAACTCTAAAATAAAAAACCTATTAATTCAGTTTAAAAATGGGCAAAAGATGTAAATAGATATTTCTTAAAAGAAGACATACAAATGGCAAGCATGTATATGAAAACGTGCTCCACATCATTGATGATCAGAGAAATGCAAATCAAAACTAAAAGGAGATACTATCTCAACCCAGTTAAAATGGCTTATATCCAAAAGATAGGCAATAACAAACCCTGGCAATGATGCAGAGATAAGGAGCCCTTGTACCCTGTTGGTGGAAATGTAAATTCATACAGATACTACGGAGAAAAGTTTGAAGCTTCCTCAAAATCTAATAATAGGAGCTCTCATATTATCCAGCGGTCCCATCATTAGGTATAATATAAAAGCAAGAAATCAGTATATTGAAGATATATCTGCACTCCCATGTTTATTGGAGCATTATTTCCAACAGCCAAGATTTGGAAGAAACTTAAGTGTCCTTCAGAAGACAAATGGATAAATAAAAGATGATACTTATACAGTAGTACAAGGGAGTACTATTTGGCTGTAATAAAGAATGAGATCCTGTCATTTATAACAACATTGATGGAACTGGAGGACATTCTTCTTCTTATTATTATTTATTTTTTGAGACGGAGTCTTGCTCTGTCACCCAGGCTGGAGTGCAGTGGCGCCATCTCGGCTCACTGCAAGCTCTGCGTCCCGGGTTCACGCCATTCTCCTGCCTCAGCCTCCCGAGTAGCTGAGACTACAGGCGCCCACCAACATGCCCAGCTAATTTTTTTGTATTTTTTTTAGTAGAGACAGAGTTTCACCGTGTTAGCCAGGATGGTCTCGATCTCCTGACCTTGTGATTGGAGGACATTATTTTAAGCGAAATAAGTCAGACACAGAAAGACAAACTTTACCTGTTCTCACTTATTTGAGGTGAAAATTAACATAATTAAACTCATGGAGACAGAGAGTAGAATGATGGTTACCAGAGGCTGGGAAGGGTAATGGAGGTGGGAGAGAAAAGGAAGTAGCGATATTTAATTGGTACAAAAATATAGTTAGAATGAATAAAATCTAGTATTTGACAGAATAACAGGGTCACTACAGTAAATAATAATATACCGTACATTTAAAAATAAATACAAGAGTATAATTTGATTGTTTGTAATACAAAGAAAGGATAAATGCATGAGATGATGGATACCCCATTTACCCTGCTGTGATTATCATGCATTTTATGCCTGTATAAAAACACAGACATGGTTTTTTTGTTTGTTTGTTCGTTTGTTTTTTTTTGAGACAGAGTTTTGCTCTTGTTGCCCAGGCTGGAGTGCAATGGCGCGATCTTGGCTCACCACAACCTCTGCCTCGCAGATTCAAGCAATTCTCCTGTCAGACATGTATTTTTATACAGGCATACAATGTATACAAAATGTATACGATGCAATATCAAAATATCTCATGTAGCCCATAAATATATACATATACTATGTTCCCACAAAATTAAAAATAATAAAAAAAGGAAATCTAATATTGTTTTTAAAATTAAAGAACATCAGGAATTTGGAGTAAATGTTTCTGTCAAGAAGTAGAGTTAAAGCATCACAACTAAGCAGACTATGAGTGAACTACATTTCTTTTTTTTTTCTTAAGAAGCATCAGATGTTTAATTTGTTTTTGACTTACAGTATTAGTTCTATTTCTTTTTTTATTATTATACTTTAAGCTTTAGGGTACATGTGCACAATGTGTAGGTTTGTTACGTATGTACACAAGTGCCATGTTGGTGTGCTGCACCCATTAACTTCTCATTCTCATTTACATTAGGTATATCTCCTAATGCTATCCCTCCCCCATCCCCCCAACCCATGACAGGCCCTGGTGTGTGATGTTCCCCTTCCTGTGTCCATGTGTTCTCATTGTTCAATTACCACCTATGAGTGAGAACATGTGGTGTTTGGTTTTCTATCCTTGAGAAAGTTTGCTGAGAATGATGGTTTCCAGCTTCATCCATGTCCCTACAAAGGACATGAACTCATCCTTTTTTATGGCTGCATAGTATTCCATGGTGTATATGTGCCACAGTTCCTTAATCCAGTCTATCATTGATGGACATTTGGGTTGGTTCCAAGTCTTTGCTATTGTGAATAGTGCCGCAATAAACATACGTGTGCATGTGTCTTTATAGCAGCATGATTTATAATCCTTTGGGTATATACCCAGTAATGGGATGGCTGGGTCAAATGGTATTTGTAGTTCTAGATCCCTGAGGAATTGCCACACTGATGTCCACAATGGTTGAACTAGTTTACAGCCCCACCAACAGTGTAAAAGTGTTCCTATTTCTCCACAACCTCTCCAGCACCTGTTGTTCCCTGACTTTTTAATGATTGCCATTCTAACTGGTGTGAGAAGGTATCTCATTGTGGTTTTGATTTGCATTTCTCTGATGGCCAGTGATGATGAGCATTTTTTCATGTGTCTGTTGGCTACATGAATGTCTTCTTTTGAGAAGTGTCTGTTCATATCCTTCTCCCACTTGCTGATGGGTTTGTTTTTTTTCTTGTAAATTTGTTTGAGTTCTTTGTAGATTCTGGATATTAGCCCTTTGTCAGATGAGTAGATTGCAAAAATTTTCTCCTATTCTGAAGGTTGCCTGTTCACTCTGATGGTGGTTTCTTTTGCTGTGCAGAAGCTCTTGAGTTTAATTAGATCCCGTTTGTCAATTTTGGCTTTTGTTGCCATTGTTTTTTGTGTTTTAGACATGAAGTCCTTGCCCATGCCTATGTCCTGAATGGTATTGCCTAGGTTTTCTTCTAGGGTTTTTATGGTTTTAGGTGTAACATTTAAGTCTTTAATCCATCTTGAATTAATATTTGTATAAGGTGTAAGGAAGGGATCCAGTTTCAGCTTTCTACATATGGCTAGCCAGTTCTCCCAGCACCATTTATTAAATAGAGAATCCTTTCCCCATTTCTTGTTTTTGTCAGGTTTGTCAAAGATCAGATAGTTGTAGATATGCGGCAATATTTCAGAGGGCTCTGTTGTGTTCCATTGGTCTATATCTCTGTTTTGATACCAGTACCATGCTGTTTTGGTTACTGTAGCCTTGTAGTATAGTTTGAAGTCAGGTAGCGTGATGACTCCAGCTCTGTTCTTTTGGCTTAGGATTGACTTGGCAATGTGGGCTCTTTTTTGGTTCCATATAAACTTTAAAGTAGTTTTTTTCCAGTTCTCTGAAGAATGTCATTGGTAGATTGATGGGGATGGCATTGAATCTATAAATTACCTTGGGCAGTATGGCCATTTTCACAATATTGATTCTTCCTATCCATGAGCATGGAAAGTTCTTCCATTTGTTTGTACCCTCTTTTATTTCGTTGAGCAGTGGTTTGCAGTTCTCCTTGAAGAGCTCCTTCACGTCCCTTGTAAGTTGGATTTCTAGGTATTTTATTCTCTTTGAAGCAATTGTGAATGGGAGTTCACTCATGATTTGGCTCTGTTTGTCTGTTATTGGTGTATAAGAATGCTTGTGGTTTTTGCACATTGATTTTGTATCCTGAGACTTTGCTTAAGTTGTTTATCAGCTTAAGGAGATTTTGGGCTGTGTTGATGGGGTTTTCTAGATATACAATCATGCCATCTGCAAAGAGGGACAATTTGACTTCCTCTTTTCCTAATTGAATACCCTTTATTTCCTTCTCCTGCCTGACTGTCCTGGCCAGAACTTCCAACACTATGTTTAATAGGAGTGGTGAGAGAGGGCATCCCTGTCTTGTGCCAGTTTTCAAAGGGAATGCTTCCAGTTTTTGTCCATTCAGTATGATGTTGGCTGTGGGTTTGTCATAGATAGCTCTTATTATTTTGAGATACATCCCATCAATACCTAATTTATTGAGAGTTTTTAGCATGAAGGGTTGTTGAATTTTGTCAAAGGCCTTTTCTGCATCTATTGAGATAATAATGTGGTTTTTGTCATTGGTTCGGTTTATATGCTGGATTACGTTTATTAATTTGCATATGTTGAACCAGGCTTGCATCCCAGGGATGAAGCCCACTTGATCATGGTGGATAAGCTTTTTGATGTGCTGCTGGATTTGGTTTGCCAGTACTTTATTGAGGATTTTTGCATTGATGTTCATCAGGGATATTTGTCTAAAATTCTCTTTTTTTGTTGTGTCTCTGACAGGCTTTGGTATCAGGATGATGCTGGCCTCATAAAATGAGTTAGGAAGGATTCCCTCTTTTTCTATTGATTGGAATAATTTCAGAAGGAATGGTACCAGTTCCTCCTTGTACCTCTGGTAGAATTCGGCTGTGAATACATCTGGTCCTGGACTTTTTCTGGTTGGTAAGCTATTGATTATTGCTTCAATTTCAGAGCTTGTTACTGGTCTATTCAGAGATTCAACTTCTTCCTGGTTCAGTCTTGGGAGAGTGTATGTGTCCAGGAGTTTATCCATTTCTTCTATATTTTCAAGTTTATTTGCGTAGAGGTGTTTGTAGTATTCTCTGATGGTAGTTTGTATTTCTGTGGGATCGGTGGTGATATCCCCTTTATCATTTTTTATTGCATCTATTTGATTCTTCTCTCTTTTCTTCTTTATTAGTCTTGCTAGTGGTCTATCAATTTTGTTGATCTTTTCAAAAAATCAGCTCCTGGATTCATTGATTTTTTGAAGGGATTTTTGTGTCTCTATCTCCTTCAGTTCTGCTCTGATCTTAGTTATTTCTTGCCATCTGCTAGCTTTTGAATGTGATTGCTCTTGCTTCTTTAGTTCTTTTAACTGTGATGTCAGGGTGTCAATTTTAGATCTTTCCTGCTTTCTCTTGTGGTCATTTAGTGCTATAAATTTCCCTCTACACACTGCTTTGAATGTGTCCCAGAGATTCTGGTATGTTGTGTCTTTGTTCTCGTTGCTTTCAAAGAACACCTTTATTTCTGCCTTCATTTCGTTATGTACCCAGTAGTCATTCAGGAGCAGGTTGTTCAGTTTCCATGTAGTTGAGCGGTTTTGAGTGAGTTTCTTAATCCTGAGTTCTAGTTTGATTGCACTGTGGTCTGAGATACAGTTTGTCATAATTTCTGTTCTTTTACATTTGCTGAGGAGTGCTTTACTTCCAACTATGTGGTCAGTTTTGGAATAAGTGCGGTGTGTTGCTGAGAAGAATGTATATTCTGTTGATTTGGGGTGAAGAGTTCTGTAGATGTCTGTTAGATCTGCTTGGTGCAGAGCTGAGTTCAATTCCTGGATATCCTTGTTAACTTTCTGTCTCATTAATCTGTCTAATGTTGACAGTGGGGTGTTAAAGTCCCCCATTATTATTGTGTGGGAGTCTAAGTCTCTTTGTAGGTCTCTAAGGACTTGCTTTTTGAATCTGGGTGCTCCTGTATTGGGTGCATATATATTTAGAATAGTTAGCTCTTCTTGTTGAACTGATCCCTTTACCATTATGTAATGGCCTTCTTATTCTCTTTTGATATTGTTGGTTTAAAGTCTGTTTTATCAGAGACTAGGATTGCAACCCCTGACTTTTTTTGTTTTCCATTTGCTTGGTAGATCTTCCTCCATCCCTTTATTTTGAGCCTATGTGTGTCTCTGCACGTGAGATGGGTTTCCTGAATACAGCACACTGATGGGTCTCGACTCTTTATCCAATTTGCCAGTCTGTGTCTGTTAATGGGAGCATTCAGCCCATTTACATTTAAGGTTAATATTGTTATGTGTGAATTTGATCCTGTCATTATGATGTTAGCTGGTTATTTTGCTTGTTAGTTGATGCAGTTTCTTCCTAGCCTTGATGGTCTTTAAAATTTGGCATATTTTTGCAGTGGCTGGTACCAATTGTTCCTTTCCATATTTAATGTTTCCTTCAGGAGCTCTTTTAGGGCAGGCCTGGTGGTGACAAAATCTCTCAGCATTTGCTTATCTGTAAAGTATTTTATTTCTCCTTCACTTATGAAGCTTAGTTTGGCTGGATATGAAATTCTGGGTTGAAAACTCTTTTCTTTAAGAATGTTGAATATCGGTCCCCACTCTCTTCTGGCTTGTAGAGTTTCTGCCAAGAGATCAGCTGTTAATTTGATGGCTTCCCTTTGTGGGTAACCTGACCTTTCTCTCTGGCTGCCCTTAACATTTTTTCCTTCATTTCAACTTTGGTGAATCTGACTATTACGTGTCTTGGAGTTGCTCTTCTCGAGGAGTATCTTTGTGGCATTCTCTGTATTTCCTGAATTTGAATGTTCGCCTGCCTTGCTACATTGGGGGAGTTCTCCTGGATAATATCATGCAGAGTGTTTTCCAGCTTGGTTCCATTCTCCCCGTCACTTTCAGGTACACCAATCAGATGTAGATTTGGTCTTTTCACATATTCCCATATTTCTTGGAGGCTTTGTTCATTTCTTTTTATTCTTTTTTCTCTAAACTTCTCTTCTCACTTCATTTCATTCATTTGTTCTTCCATCACTGATACCCTTCCTTCCACTTGATCGAATTGGCTACTGAAGCTTCTGCATTTGCTATGTAGTTCTTGTGCCATGGTTTTCAGCTCCATCAGGTCCTTTATGGACTTCTCTGCATTGGTTATTCTAGTTAGCCATTCGTCTAATCTTTTTTCAACGTTTTTAACTTCTTTGCCATGGGTTCGAACTTCCTCCTTTAGCTCGGAGAAGTTTGATCATCTGAAGCCTTCTTCTCTCAACTCATCAAAGTCATTCTCTATCCAGCTTTGTTCTGTTGCTGATGAGGAGCTGCGTTCCTTTGGAGGAGGAGAGGTGTTCTGATTTTTAGAATTTTCAGTTTTTCTGCTCTGTTTTTTCCCCATCTTTGTATTTTTATCTACTTTTGTTCTTTGATGATGGTGACGTACAGATGGAGTTTTGGTGTGGATGTCCTTTCTGTTTGTTAGTTTTCCTTCTAACAGTAAGGACCCTCAGCTGCAGGTCTGTTGGAGTTTGCCGGAAGTGCACTCCAGACCCTGATTGCCTGGGTATCAGCAGTGGAGGCTGCAGAACAGTGAATATTGGTGAACAGCAAATGTTGCTGCCTGATCGTTCCTCTGGAAGTTTTGTCTCAGAGGAGTACCCAGCCGTGTGAGGTGTCAGTCTGCCCCTACTTGGGGGTGCCTCCCAGTTAGGCTACTCAGGGGTCAGGGACCCACTTGAGGAGGCAGTCTGTCTGTTCTCAGATCTCCAGCTGTGCGCTGGGAGTACCACTACTGTCTTCCAAGCTGTCAGACAGGGACATTTAAGTCTGCAGAGGTTTCTGCTGCCTTTTATTTGGCTATGCCATGCCCCCAGACGTAGATTCTACAGAGGCAGGCAGGCCTCCTTGAGCTGTGGTGGGCTCCACCCAATTCGAGCTTCCTGGCCGCTTTGTTTACCTGCTCAACCCTCAGCAATGGTGGGCGCCCCTCCCCCAGCCTCGCTGCCGCCTTGCAGTTTGATCTCAGACGGCTGTGCTAGCAATGAGCGATGCTCTGGGTGCGTAGGACCCTCCGAGCCAGGTGCGGGATATAATATCCTGGTATGCCATTTGCTAAGACCGTTGGAAAAGCACAGTATCAGGGTGGGAGTGACCCGATTTTCCAGGTGCCGTCTATCACCCCTTTCCTTGGCTAGGAAAGAGAATTCCTTGACCCCTTGTGCTTCGCAGGTGAGGCGATGCCTCACCCTGCTTCAGCTCACACTTGGTGCGCTGCACCCACTGTCCTACTCCCACTGTCCGACAATCCCCAGTGAGATGAACCAGGTACCTCAGTTGGAAATGCAGAAATCATTCGTCTTCTGAATCACTCATGCTGGGAGCTGTAGACTGGAGCTGTTCCTATTCAGCCATCTTGGAACCGCCCTGGAAATACATTTCAAATACAATCATTATGGTCCTAAACATCTTTTACTGGGGCAGAGCAAGTTCCTGGAATTTTTTAGTGTACCATGCAAATGTGGAAGCCGGAAATTGACATGTATATCATGAAAGATTTGGGAAGAAAATAACTGCAGATTGTGATAACTTAAGTTTTTTTAAACATCTCTTTAGTAAAATGCTAATGAAAGCAAAAACAAAATGTTTAATTATAGAAATTGAACATGAGGATATTTATCCTCTCAGAATTGTATATTGCAAACTTTTAATATAAAGACTCTCTGAAAAATGGAACATAGACTTAGTAGCCATGAAACTTTATTTTTCCTCTTCATATATACTCAATTTACTCTGCACAATTTTAAAAAAAGTTTTAAGGAATACATGAATATATATTTCATAATTATATTGAACTTTTGAACAAACTGATATTTTAACTCACTCTGTATGACAGTTCAAGATTATTGCCTAATTGTGTCATTATTTAAATGTAATTTTTCATGTAAGTTTCTTATTCTGTTACTGACATCAAAGACATTAATCAAACTGTCTTAGTTGTTTTGAAAAATGACTTTGACATAAATTTTATCTAGTTTGTAGAGTGTTATATGAGGCATATGGGAGGCTATAAACAGAGGAGAGTTCCTTACTCTGCCTTATCCATAATCGTTGCTTGTCAACACTAGCATCTGTAGCATGTACTGATTGAACATATTTTTCCAAAGAAAAGTGAAGTAACAAATCCCACAAGATCAACAATGTTTAATGAGAATATTGGTATTTTAAATTAAGATTTACCCATCCAACATAAATATCTCATATAATTTTAGTTCACTGCAGAACTGTATGACTATCTTGCTATTCAAAATATGTATCTCTTCCCTAATCAAATTTTAGATGAATTAATATTGCTTACAGAATGATGTATCCTTTCCCTAGGTTGGCATTCAAATTCATCACACCCTGCATTGTTCCTCGTAAAACCTATTCTAATGCCACTAGTGTCAAATACATCTTAACTAGCATTGATGCTGCAATTAAATGTTTGTGTATACTTGTGCATGAGATTTAATTTTTTAATATTGTTCAATCAAATTTAAAATAAGAATATTATTGATTTGTATCAGAATTGTGGGTCTTATAAAAAATCTATTTTATGTATTAAATAAACTTTTAGTGCCCAGAGAAATTTCCTATTTTTAGTCAATGTCTTTTTCTTCATTTTTGTGGATGGATAGTATATATATACGTGTGTGTGTGTGTGTGTGTGTGTGTGTATGGAGTACATAAGATGTTTCAGTACAGGCATGCAATGTAAAACAAGCACATCATGGAGAATAGTGTATCCATCTACTCAAGCATTTATCCTTTGAGTTACAAACAATCACTCTTTAAGTTATTTAAAAATGTACAACTAAGTTATTATTGACTTTAGTCATCCTGTAGCACACTCAAATAGTAGGTCTCATTCATTCTTTCTATTTTTTGTACCCGTTAAAATTATCCCCACCCTCCCCGCAGACCCTCACTACCCTTTCCAGCCTCAGATAAATATCCTTCTACTTTATATCTCCATGAATTTAATTATGTTAATTTTCACCTCCCACAAATATGTGAGAACATGCGAAGTTTGTCTTTCTGTGCCTGACTTATTTCACTTAACATAATGATCTCCAGTTCCATCCATGTTGTTACAAATGACTGGATATCGTTCTTTTTTATGGCTGAATAGTACTGCATTGTGTGTATGTACCATATTTTTTTTTATCCATTCGTCTGTCGATAGACACTTAGATTACTTCCTAATCATAGCTATTGCAAACAGTGCTGCAACAAACATAGGAGTGCAGATATCTCTTCAATACACTGATTTCCTTTCTTTGGAGTATATATCCAGCAATGGAATTACTGGATCATTTGGTGACTCAATTTTTAGTTTTTTGAGGAAACTCCAAACTGTTCTTTAAATTGGTTGTAAAAATTTACATTCCCACCAACAGTATACAAAGATTCCCTTTTCTCCACATGCTTGTCATCATTAGTTATTGCCTGTCTTTTGACTATAAGCCATTTTAACTGGGGTAAGATAATATCTCATTTTAGTTTTGATTTGCATTGCTCTGATGATGAATGATGTTGAGCATCTTTTCATATGCCTGTTGTTATCTGTATATCTTCTTTGAGTGATGTCTATTCATATGTTCTGCCCATTTATCGATTGTATTATTATATATTTTTTCTATAGTTGTTTGACCTCCTTATACAGTCTGGTATTTAATCCCTTTTCAGATGGGTAGTTTGCAAATGTTTTCTCCCATTCTGTGGGTTATCTCTTCAGTTTGTTGATTATTTCCTTTGATGTGCAGAAACGTTTTTTACCTCAGTGAGATGCTTTTTACCCATTTTTACTTTTGTTGCCTATGCTTGTGGGGTATTGCTCAAAAATTTTTGCCCAGGCCAATGTCCTGGAGACTTTCCCCAATGTTTTCTTCTGGTAGTTGTATAGTTTGATGTCTTAGATTAAGTCTTTAATCCATTTTGATTTTATTTTTGTATATGGTGAGAGATAGGAGTCTAGTTTTATTCTTCTATATATGGATATCTAGTTTTCCCAGCACCATTTATTGAAGAGACTGTCCTTTGCCCAGTGTATGTTCTTTGCACCTTTGTCCAAAGTAAGTTCACTCTAGGCATGTGGATTTGTTTCTGAGTTATCTATTCTGTTCCTTTGGTCTATGTGTCTGATTTTATGCCAGTACCATGCTGTTTTGGTTACTGTTACTCTGTAGTATAATTTGAAGTCAGTTAATGTAATTCCTCCAGTTTTGTTCTTTTTAGTTAGGAAAGTTTGTGATATTCTGGGTCTTTTGTGGTTCCATGTAAAATATGGGATTTTTATTTCTATTTCTGTGAAGAATATCATTGGTAATTTGATAGAGATTGCATTGAATCTGTAGATGGCCTTGGGTAGTGCGGACATTTCAAGAATATTGCAGTCTTTACAGTCTAGATTGTCCTCTACGTTCATTAGAGACACAGGGCACTGTAGCCCACAGTGACGAGGCTTGTGGGAACTCAAGTTCAGACTGTTGGGATCCTCTGGCTAGGGGTGGCTTAAACACTGTTTCCCTGGGCGGACATCAGCTGAGTTTGGTCTGGTTTTCCTTTCTGTTTTACCAGGACAGCATTCAGTTCAACGCCTGACAGTTGATGTAATCTCCCTCCCCTAATGCCCAGAGACACTCTCCCCAGCTTGCAGCCTTGCCAGGGGCTGCGAGAGGGGTGGCATCCACATTTCAAGACTGTTTTGATCTATTTCTTCAGTGATACAAAGATAAAACCAAGTAGCATAATGGCTCACCTGATTTTTGGTTCTTCTGAAGTGTTTTTTTCTGTGTGGATAGCTGTTACATTGGTGTCCTTGAAGAGGGGACTATCAGTAGAGCCTTCCATTCTACCATCTTGCTCTGCTTCTCAGCCTAATGTCTTGTTTCTTGAACTAACTTTACCTGTAATACTTCTAGCTATTTTTCAAGGTTTAGGTCAAATTCCATCAACAACCAAAGGAACTACTCTCTTTTGTGCTCCCAGGAAAAAGGAATCTTTACTTACTCAACACTGATATCATTAATCAGTATAGAGTTGCCAGTTTGCTTGGGTCAGTCCCAGGTTATGCCTGTTGTATCTGTCAGCAGTTGTCCATAGCATCCTTTTTTACTCACAAAAGTAGCCAAGTAAAATGAGTAATTACACAGCCTCCTATTTTGTGTGATTCCAGAGCTACCTTCTATATCTTCTTTGGGTAAGAGTTATGCATTCATTTTTGTTTCTCTAATTAAATTGAAGTTTGAGGATAAGATTTCCCAACTTACATGTTTTCAGTTTTTTAATGTCTACACAGTGCCTTGGACATTTTGCAAAGTTAGCAAATACATGTTTACTGAACTATGTTGATTTTGGTTCATAATCGGCATATTTGGCACCATTCAAAATATTAAAGTGTTTTGACAGTACTTTTATAGCTGTGAATTCTGAATATGCATATCGAAAATATGCTCGTTCTTTATCCTTATTCCTATACTTAAAATAGATATATAAATGAGTGTAATAATATGAAAAAAGATAGATTTTTAAAATAACATATAATTTAGGAATAATTATTTACAAATATTTGTTTTCTTTCCATTTTCTACTAGATTCAGCAGATCCAGAGGCAATTTAAAACAATAACCCTGTGCTTTCATGATCTTAAAGTGAGGTAGATTGGCATTGAAAAATGTGTCATTCTTCCATAAATGGTAAATCTAAATAAATGTAAATAATACTAAATATAAATAATATATTTAAATTTGTATAATTGTTCCATTGGAACAGAACATACGACAGTGAAACTTGAGAAGGCATTCCTAAATGAGATATTATTTGCTAAGATCTGAAGAAATAGAGTTATGTTTCCATTAGCATAGTGACTTACATACCTTGGAAAATTCTTCCAGTTAGTTAAAAAAAAAAACTTGTGACAATATAAATATGGAGATATATTTGAAAGTCTGTTGCTCCTTAGCAAGAAAAGGAATAATCAGAAGCTATAAATTCAAGACAGGAATAAAGGGATTGAGTTACTAGAATGAGCTACTTACTTTAACAAACCCAAAATCTCAGACTGAAGGCATTAAAAGTTTCCCCCTGACCCCCCGAACCCCGCGAGACACTTCAATGTAATTGTTTGGTGGTGGAATCCATGTGGTAATTCTAAAAGCCTGATTCCTTCCATGTTGTGTAGACACTCATGAGGGACTTTGAGTCCACTGCAGGAGTTGCTATATCTAGTTTGGTAGATCACCTGGGAGATTTTTGAGGTTTAAGGTCTAGGACTGTGGTGCATCAGTTTCAACCATATCCCAATGGCAAGAGTTTATCACTCAGAGATAAAAGGAAGCTTGGAAAAGCTAGTTTCCAAGCAGCAACTCTGTGTTGTGAAAAAAAAAATTGTAAATATTTTCTGGTTAAAACTAGGTTTCCGTTTGTAGGTGTTTGACCTAAGTACTAAGGTTTGGACACTATTAGCTCATGATTTCTTTGGCAATGCAATTTCATCAAAAATGTTATGAGCTTTTCATTTCTGTTTCATATGTTTGCTACATGCATTTGTAACCACAAGCAAAGTCATTTCCTAGATTGATTTTTCAATTAATTGTGTGTTGCCTTACTCGCTTATCCTCATTCTTCACTCACTCTATCTAGTGACAGACAGCATCAGGCATGGGAAGAAAGGGTATATCATCATTTGATTTTTGATCCAGAGTTGACTCTTGGGTGGATTGTGTTACTCCAAACCTTCTTCAGTCTTATAACCATATTTGGGGCTTACTAATAGTGACCCTTTGCAACTCCGCTGACACAAAATTTTTGAACTCCATTCCATTGAACTTGTAAAATTTCCAAGTCCTTGGAGCTCAAAATTTTTAAAACATCTAATACATTGCTAAATGTACTGATTTGAATCAATACATATCTCACACACTATTTTTAACCTCTAGAGTTTTAGGTCAGCAGGCACTTGGTCTACCTTCCAACTTCTAATCATCACAGGCAAGTTTTTTCCAAGTGTTTTGCCATTTTTTAGCAGTCTATACTGTAGGTTATGTTGTAGAACGAAGCAATCTTATACTACAATGGAATAAGACCAATAACGTTTATATTTAACTCATGTTGTGTTCCAATGGCAATGTGGCTTTGAGTTCGGCTTTGCAACATTTTCACTCTGGGATCAAAGTTAGTAACACAGCTACTACCAAGAAGACTTCCAGCCATTGTTGTAGAAAGAAACCTAGCTTTGGAGAGTCTAGCACCAGCAAATACATGTTATGGTTCTGGAGAATATAACATTTTCACTTATAGCTCTCATTAGACAGGATTAATTCCATGTCCTCATCAAACCATAAAGAGACCAAAAAAGATTAACAAAGGGTTGTATGTAGGTAGCAAAGGGCTGAGCCAGAAATACTGGAGAAGAACAATAATGACTACTATAATAGGTCTCTATTTGCCCTAATTTTGTGACACAAGTCTTTCATGAAGTATTGGCTGATGTATGCCTACTACTTTTCACCTGATACAAAAAAATAACTCATTTATCATTATAACACATCAAGTGACCAATTTATGGATTAGATAAAGTAAGGATAGCACTGTTAATGTTAAATCTAAAACGTCAGTGACTTTGCAAAAAAAAGGAAGTTGTTCTTGTCCATTAAAAGCCAAATCAGTGGTGTGAGATCTCTGATTTAAGGTTATTATACAGAGACACACCCTAGCATCTTGTGGCTCTGTCACCATCTAAACATAGACACTGACCTAGGAGACAGAAGAGAATTATTAATCATGTGACAGATTTTTAATTTCATGGCCTCAAAGTTTTATATGTCACTTCTGCACATGTTCCATTGTTGAGAACTTAGTCACATAATCACACCTAAATAAATATACATGGGCAAATGTAATGTGGTCACATCCCAGTAACAATTTTATGTTCTACAAGGAGTACAAAATATTTGGTGCAGTATTATCTATCTGTATCCTAGATAGCTTCCCCTCTTAACTAAATGCTTGAAGTTTTGAGCTTCTCTTTTGAAGTCTGTACTGAAAAATAATTCCGAAGGTAATGCTTTTTCATGTTAAGGTAGGGGAAAACCTTATGAAAATGGAACGCCAAACAGAAACGTTTTTATTAGAACATTGAAGAAAAATATTAACCACTGTGAAAAATGTGTCTTAAAGGAATAAGCCTGCCCAACTCTTATATCAATTACAAGGGGAAAAAAATCTTAAGGTAATTTGTGGAGTAAACACATAAAATATCATGAACTAAACTCAAATTGCTTTTGTGAACTACTTACAAATAAAATTTATGAGAACCATTTGATTTAAATAAGTTGCTTAGCCACATTGACAAATGATTTGCAAATTCTCTCTGGAAAAGTACATCTTCAAATCAGACCTAGAAGGATCATAATAGATTAATTATCCAAGCTCTTGGACTCATCAAAAACACATATTATACAATCCAAATAGAATCATAAGTGAGCGGCAGCAGGAAAAATGAATGAACAGAAAACAGAAAAAGACCTATTCTTCCTTTTGGGAAGTTTTACAGAGAATACAATAGGGGTTAATTTATATTTAAATCAAAATTCTAAGCTTAAAGATGA
The DNA here is from genome assembly GCF_000001405.40 of Homo sapiens. Lineage (NCBI taxonomy): Eukaryota > Metazoa > Chordata > Mammalia > Primates > Hominidae > Homo > Homo sapiens. The sequence goes on along the minus strand of NC_000004.12, from coordinate 115,804,450 downwards.
ACAAAAAGAAAGCATTAAAAAATAACTCCAAGATTTCAAAAAGAATAATTATAGAAATGTACAATATAATACGAACTATTAAAGCAGAAGAGACTCTTTAAAAGGCACACTAGATAAATTTTAAAAGAGAAATTGTGAGCTTGAAAAGAAAGATGTAAATACATTAATCAGTACCTTAAGAAAAGATGAAGGAATTGGTAAGCTACCTGGAAGATAATGTGACAAGGCTCATCTACACAATAATTTTATGCCAATAGAATATAATAGAATGGAAAAGAGATGGTTTTGCAAAAGATTTTAAACTTTTCCACAATTGCCAAGAGATGTGCAATATAAAATATGAATTTCAATTTTAGGCTCAAAGAAAAAGAGAAAAACACTAATGTAAAGAGAGAATAAAAGTACAACTAGAGAAAAATGATTACCTAATCAAATTTTTTAAAAATCATTAAAAGGAACAGGTCTTTCTCAATAGCACCCATAGGAATAAGAAAACACACACACACACACACACACACACACACACACAAATGCACAGACTTTTTTGAGATGAAATTCTGTAAATATACAAGTTTAGACCAAGGAAACTAGCTTTTTAGAAGCAAGCACATAATTAATATATTTTTTATTTAACAGAAACATAAGAACATTTATTACTAATCTACTTTCATTGTATAAAAAGGAAAATATTCCACAAGGGTTGTCTTAGGAAACCCAATAAGAAAACTGATAAACAAAAAGGTAAATGCAAGCAAACATTAAACAAAGCAATAATAATTATTATATCTAATTTTTTATTTAAAAATAGTACCACATTTACTTATTGAACAGCCATAATTTTGGAGGGTGGGCTATTAGCTTTAAAATATTCTACAGACTTTGTATTATTTAGCTAAGTATAAAAATATTGATAAAATTACACCTGGTAAAATGTTATTTTAAATTATATACTATTAAAATAATGGGCAAAGTACAGGGAACATATTGAATGAGATCAATATTAAAAGATAAGTGGTAGTTCACTAAAGTGAGGTGGTGGGAAGCACTAGAATGGGAAGAGAACATTTCAAAGAAAATAATTTACGCCACGGTCTTGTGGTAGAAGAGATGTCACCTTTTATGAGCAATAAAGAGAGTAATTTTTCATAAATGACAGTTCATTTCAATTCAGAACAACATCTATGGGGAACAGGTAGAAAAGTTGGATGGCAACACACATAAATCCCCCCAACTGCCCCCTTAACCACCTCCACTGAGTGCGCATGCGCGCGCACACACACACACACACACACACACACACACACACACACACTCTCTCTCTCTCTCTCTCTCTCTCTCTCTCTCTCTCTCTCTCTAGGTGAAAGTGTTAGAGAACCACCAAGGCAACGAGGACATGAGAGTCTGGAATCCTGGGGAGTAGAGAGGCATCAAGGGAAACATTACTTGTTTGGAAGTACTGTCCTTTATTTGTTAATTTTCCTGTGTGGGGCCAAAAGAATAAGAAGCAGAATAGAAATCTGCAAGAAGAGGATTGGGATACTGAGAGACATGTTTTGGAGTTTTACACAACATGACTATGCCCACAAAATAGTTTAGAGTTAAAGCAGCTAGGATTTGAGAAGTAGCATTTTTGGCAATAAGTGAAGAACACTGAAGTAAGCCTTACATTTTGCTTCATTTTTTTCCACTAAATTTTTAAGAATGAACCAAAGGACCAAAAACTTACCAGGAAGTGGTAGCTAAGAGAATTCAAAAACTGGAATTCAAGGTTCACCAAATAGTAGAGATATTGGCAAACACCATATCCTGAATTTCAATTTAAGGTTTTATTAAGAATACAACCAAGAAGTAAGGTAGAATCTGCAATAAACCAGTCTTTACAAAGGCTGAAATACAGCTTCAGATTGACTTGGTTCCATATGTTGATCTGTACTTTCTGTAATGGCATGCTAGAAAACATAATTAAACCTTTGGAAGAAGGTAATATTGGACAGGCTTCAAATTATCTCTCCATTTTTCATACAAATATTCAGTTTTAATAAAAAAAACTACCAATCATGTTAGTGGACAACTTCAAATGACAAGACAAAAAAAAATAAGGAGAGGAGGAGGAGGAAGAAGAGGATGTGGAGATAAGATAATGTGGTTAGCATGCATGAGTTTTAAAATAATATGATTAATTTTTTCAGGAAATAGATGACAAAATGGAGAATGGAGACTTTCACCATTTTGGTTTCACCAAATTACTGGGATCCAAAAAAGGGGACCACAAATAGTGGGTACAGTGCTAACTACTACCCTACTACCAAAAAAAAAAAGGAGAAGAAGAAGAAGACAATTCCATGGAAAATGGAAAATTTAGACTTGAAAAATAACATAATTAGTATTAAATTTCAATTGAGTCCAGGTGTGGTGTCTTATGCCTGTAATACCAGCACTTTGGGAGGCCAAGGCAGGTGGATCACGAGGTCAGGAGATCGAGACTATCCTGGCTAACACGGTGAAACCCCCTCTCTGCTAAAAACAAAAAATTAGCCAGGCGTGGTGGTGGGCACCTGTAGTCCTAGCTACTTGGGATGCTGAGGCAGGAGAATGGTGTGAACCTGGGAGGCAGAGCTTGCAGTGAACTGAGATTGCGCCACTACACTCCAGCCTGGGCGACAGAGCGAGACTCCATCTCAAAAAAAAAAAAAATTCAATTGAACAGTGACATTATACAATGAAAGAGAGAATTTGTGACTAGAGACATAAAGCAACAGAAAATATATAGTTCATTATGTGAAGAGAGAAAAAAGAGAAAAAAGCATATGAGTCATGTTGACTCCAGAATAACCTTGATTTAAAAACCTGCTAAAATATTTCAAAAATGAAAATTTCAGGTCAATTGCATTTGCAAACATGGATAAAAAAATCTTAGGCAAAATATTAGCAAACAGAATCCAAAGACATACCTAGGATTTCTGTTTTCAAAGTCAATAAATATAATTCACACATTAACAAAATATAAAGAACAAACATATGATGTCCAAACATCATATGATGACCAAATTTCATATCCATCATGACTAAAACTCTTAGAAAACCAGAGACAAAAAGAAACTTCCTTAACCTCAATACAGAACATTTACATAATAAAATATGCAAATGGTCAATAAGCATATGAATATCTGTACTACATCAATGGTAATAAGGAGAATGCAAAGTAGAACTATTCTAACGTATTTCTACATACTCATCAGGCTACAATTAAAAATACTAAAGTACTAAAAGCAGGAAAAGTTGTGAAATAACAGAAGCTTTTATCTACTTCTAAATTAGTACAACCACTTTAGAAAACAGCTTTTCAGCATATATGAAAGGGAATGTATAAATACACTATGTCCCCAGAGTTTTATACCTGCTTTCATAGATAACACAAACCCATGGATACATGTATCAAAAGACATGTGCAAGAAGGCTAGCTATAATATTAACTGTAGTAATTAAAAATACAAAAGTAACCCAAATGCTCATTAACCATCTACTGACAAAATAAATAACTTATTTTATACAGAAGACATAAATCTAATCTTGAATAAAATTTGCCAGAAATAAAATAAGACATAATATATGGTTCCATTTGCATATATTTCAAACTTAAAGAAAATTAATCTATCATGCATATACAAGGATAGTTACTTTTCAGGAGAGAGTGAGATGAGTAGGAGAAAGGATGAGAGGTTTTCTGGGTTGCACTTAAGGTCTTTTTCTCAAGAATATTCTGGTTGCTTACATGTAATCACTTCATGAACATTTATCTAGGTGTGTATTTATGACCCGCTCATGTTTCTGAATGTACTATTAGACTTTAATAAGTGAGTTTATATAACATAGCGTTGCTCACAGTATCACATTGTGAGAATCTGCTGGGAAGACAATTAGAGGGCCTATCACACAGCACTTCATGGGACAAATATTAAAGACTTTTTTTTATGGCTGAGGGCATTGAAGAGCCATTTAAATGTTTTAATGAAGGGCTTATTTTTCAGATAACATTTGCACTTTGGAATTCTGAATGCAGAAATGGAGAATTGACTGGAAGCAAAAAAAGGAGGTTCAACAGAATAACTAATATTCTAGAAGACACATGAAAATATCTTGGACTAGTTTGTGTGTGTGTGTATCTACATAACAGGGAGACAGGAGAGAAGGGGGTTGCATTGTGAAGATAAATGTGAAGATTTAATAGACATAATATGGTTCAGTTTGATAGAGTTTGATGTTGAGCTTAAGTTTGATGGAGTGGAGAAGGACAAAAGTAAATTACTGTCCTGTATAACAGAATAGTTACACATGTCTTTTGAGTGTAAGTCTTTTTCATCCTTTAGAATGTTGTTTGTGAAGTGTTTTTAAGATAAACAGAGATACCAAACAGCATATTCCATCATGAGCTCTGAGGAGATAACTAAAATGATGATATACATTTGTAAGTTTTCTTTCAATAAAGTAAATCTCAAAACCTAAGATTTGGATAAGATCAAGGAAGAAGGTATAGATTGAAAAGAGAAGGTTTTCTAGGTCTGACCTGGAGAAACTCAATTTACCGTGGTTTTATTATTGAAACCGGATTTGCACAGGAGACTGAATGGGTGGTCAGTGAGGTAGAAAAAATGCATGAGAATATTGTAAAAGAAAAAACAAAGTACATAGAAATAAATGAATGGGTGGGGGGATTAACACTCTGGGTAGAATGAGATTTGGACTTAGTAACACAGAGGCTATGGCTTTGTTTAGTAGTGGGAGCTGCTTAGGTTATTAATAGAGACAGAAGCCAGTTCCAATGAATTGCCAGACATGTTGGTGACAAAATAAAAACAATAAGAATAGGCACACGTTTTGAGAGTGTCAGTCATGAAGGAAAGCTTAGTATAGGTTGACAAAAGGAAGAAATAGGATTCAGAAGTTTTGTTGCTGCTGCTACTGTTATTGATTTTTGAAATAAGGAGAACTGAGAAGATGCTTTTAAAAATGAGAAGAATCAAATTGAGAGAACCTGATTGCATGTTGAGAGAAAGAATAGATAATAAGCACTGGGATAGAAAATAGTTCAAAGAGATCCAAAGCACAGATTGAGGCATTCTCCTTTCAAAGAGGAAGAGGCACTCATCTGCTGTAGCAGGTGGTTAGATTCTAAATCAATGGGTTTTTCAACTGAAAAAAAAGACACTGCCAACCAATTTTTGAATGAATTTTAAATATGACATTTTAATATACAATTTATATCCAAATTTTATGTTCTATAAAATTGTCAAGAAGAAAGCATGTGTATTCAAAACTGCTAAAATAACATTACATAAATAATTTTAAAAGCATTTTTGCTATATTTACTTAGTGTAAGGCATATTATTTACCTATATTATTTGTCAATCATATTACATACTCCTCACAGTAGTTTATTTAAAAGTGTTGTTTTTATTAGCATTTGTATATAGCTTAGATATTTCAAATTTTATGGGTGAAACACCTGGAAATGAAGCAAGATAACTTCTAGGCATTTAGTTCTTTTAATGAACAGAAGATAAAAATATTTTGTATTTTCACAATTTTAATAAGATGAAGTATAGTATTTAAGCTAAAAGAATATTAGGATCCCATTTATAGGTATAAGTGTTAATTTACATGAAAATAAATGTATTTAAAAGAGGAGATTTGTTTGTAGCTCCATAATCCACTTTCTTTCTAGCCTTTCTTTAGTGGATTTTATGTTACTGATATAACAAATCATATTTGAATTATCTGATTTCTAAATTGGGAAGGTACAGCATCATGCTGAAAGGGCAATGTTTGCTTCTGCAACTACGAAATTGTCTAAATAATTATAGTACTATATTCCGATGCTAAAATATTACATCCCCATTTTCTCTGTTACACTCAGATGTTTTAATATATCTACAATCAAGATACATGTAGGAGAGACATCATCAGAAACTTTACAACTGCCAGTTAGAGGACATAAATTATTTTAGGCCAATATTTCTTCGATTATGAGTTTTTGAAGTATAGGCCAGATGGATGTGATTTATTCATGCTTCCAGATAATCACCAGAAACTTGCAAGGATATGCAGTAAACTATGGAGGTGGGGGAATTACATAAATGTAACCAAATATACAAAGCAATGTACATGAATACAATACTTTTAAATATGTATTACAATTGTGCTAACAATCTCAAAGGCATACAAAATTCAAGACTGCAAGTATTGGTTTTAGAAGACAACATGTTAATATACTATGATGATGCAAAACTGCTTATGTACTCATGTGATACAAAATAATCACTTCCTCAGTGAAGAAAATTGAGACTTAATTTCTTCTCATAATGCTGAATAAGTAAGTAGTAAATAAATGCTATCTTCAATTAATTTTAACCTCTTTAAAGCTTCTATGAAATAATTTTGTTTTTTTAATAGAAAGAATCTAGAATATGAAATATAGTATGGTCACTTACATTATGGTTTGACTTACATTATGGTTTTTCAATATATGATGGTGTAAAACTGATATGCATTCAGTAGAAACTCTACTTTTAGTACTTATACAACCACTGTTTTTTAACTTTCAGTACAGTGTTCAATAAATTCCATGAGATATTCAGTACTTTATTATAAATGGTATTTATGTTATTTGATTTTGCCCAATTATAGGCTAGCTAATATAAGTGTTCTGAGCACATTTAAGTTAGACTAGGCTAATATATGATATTTGGTAGGTTAGGTGCATCAAATGCAATTTCAACTTATATTATTTTCATCTTATAATGAGTTTCTTAGGATGTAATCCCATCTTACATCAAGGAGCATCTGTATTTTATTTCCTTTGTTTGAAATGTGTGATTACTAGCATATCCAAGAAATTAGTGGACTAAGCAGGAGAAGTCAAACAAAATTATGATGATTTTTTATGTATGAACTTAGCCTCTATAGAAACGAATAGAAAATTGTAATATATTTATCTCTACCTATGAGCAGCCTACTTAATTTTAAAGTTTATCATACAGATATCATTACTTTAAATGTGTGTTACTATGTAAAAAAAATAAGAAAAAAGTTGGTTTTTAGCTGCAAATGGGAATTATTTAGATGTAAGTAAAGGAAAATTCAATTTGTATAGGCTATAAAAATAGTTGTATATTGGCTAACTGAAAAGTCTATATCCTGGGTCAACTTTATGACAACACTCATCCATATTTAACAATGTCAGAAAAAGACACACTTTTAAAATTATTTGTCTTGTAGAATATGTTCATCTTAAGGCTGGCTTTCTTTATGGTGGAGGATGACAGCCAACAGTCTATTGTGGTGGCATTCATTCTTCTTCATATCTTGCCGTGTGCCTTAGAATATTAATCAAGATTCTTTCCTGGGAGCCACAGTCAGTTTTTCTTGATGTCTCTTTCAACAAAATAAGCTTAACATCACCCTTTAACCAATCACTTTGGATAGAGGATGAGAGGTGTTAAACTGGATCTGGCCAAAAGCTTCTTCTATATCTTGAGTCCATACGTAACAAATTGCAACCTAAATTAGTATATCAAGAAACTGTAACTTAAGAGTTTATTATTTTAACAAATAGTTGTTTTAACCAATCACAGTAGCTAAGCTTCAGACAACCACAGGCTGCCAACTGATCAGATCATACTGAAATAAGGCAAATGTCAAGCTGTAACCAATCAAGATAATTCTGTAAGTCACTTTTCTTTTTTCTGTTTATAAATACTTCCTACCCACATTCCTGGGTGGAAATCTATGAACTTATCCTGTTCAGAGTGCTGCCTGATTCCTGAATTTGTCTTTGCACAAATAAACTCTGATAAACCTAACTTGTCTAAAGTTTTTCTTTTAAGAGAGGCACTAATTAGATTTTTTTTCAAACAAAAATAGGTTTCTCAGGGAATTCCAAAGAATCATATAGCCAATTTACTAAAAAGCATGTGGAATTCTTGGAAGAAGGTAGAATACCTAAACTAAAATTCTGTTACAATGTAATTAGTGAATGTCACTGAACCCAAACCGGACAATGTAGCATATTTACCCTGACATATAGAATTACAGTTAAAGTTTATTTATACTGCAGAAAAAGATTAAAAATATAGATTAGGCTGACGAGCAATTTTTTTATTTGCCAACTATCAAAAAGATCTCAATTAAGCTTATGGTTTATCTACTAATAAATCTGTATGTAACTGTGTGTGTGCTAACTGAAAAAGAGAAGAAGATGTTTCATCATCCCTTTTTAATAAATAAAAAGTGATCAAAATAATAAAAATGAATAATAAAATGTGATCCAAATAATAAAATAATAAAAACTGATCAAAAATTCAGCTGAAAGATACTTTCATATAAATGTGGTAATAAATAGGCCTTGATCAATATGCATTCCTTTATGTTAGGAAAGTTTGCATTTTGGAATTTTAATATTTAATTTTGAATAATTGATAAAATTATGAAATATTTATTTCATGTTCTTTGATGTTGCTGATTGGAATATTGGAATATAATTTTCCAATCTGATGTTTCCTTTGCAAGGCTAACTTAAAAATTTCCTCTTTTTATTTTTCTCTATTCTAGAAATTACTTTTTGCTCTGAGAGAGAGGTATTATTAAAGGTATTATTAAAGAGGTATTGCAAAAATGTCAGACAAGCCAAACGCCCATCAGTCAATGAGTTGATAAAGAAACTGTGGTATATATATATGATGGAATACCACTCAGCCATAAAAAGGAATCAATTAATGGCATTTGCAGGGACCTGGATGAGATTGAAGACTATTATTCTAGGTGAAGTAACTCAGGAATGGAAAACCAAACATTCTACATTCTCACTCATAAGTGGGGGCTAAGCTGTGAGGATACAAATGCATAAGAATAACACAATGGATTTTGGGGACTCAGTGAGAAAGGGTGGGAAGGGATTGAGGGACAAAAGACTACAAATTGTGTGCTATGTGTACTGCTTGGGTGATGGGTACACCAAAATCTCACAAATCACCGCTAAAGAACTTACTCATGTAACCAAACACCACCTGTTCCCCAATAACCTATGGAAATAAAAATAAAAAAAAATCACACTTCTTTGATGGACAAGCTTTGGTACCAAACACAAAGGGGAACCTTAATAAACCAGACTGGAGCAATTGTGAAATTCCTTTAACATGATAGAGGTTGCTAACAGTACAGATCAGAAAAGGTCAAAGTGATTTTCAATAAAGAAAATTCAAGACCAGCAGAGCCAAAGTTTCTCCTCTATCAAGAGCCAGATGTTCAAGACCTTCTTAAACTGAGAAGTGAGCTCATGTTTTCTCATCAACCAAAAAATTATTCAAAGGAGAAAAACCATAAGACACAGAAAGAAAAAGAAACCTGCTCTTATAGAACCCCTATTCACATATACACTTAACAAGTAACTGGTAATAACCTTATAAAAATGTTTAGTACTTTTTTTAAATAAATGAGACCATATTTTGCAGTAAAAAGGTCAAGTTCTCTTTGGTTAATGTCTGTAGCCTCTGATCAGGAAGTTATATCCTAATTAGAGGTCTACCACAACCTTGGTACCAAGTACTATTTTTTTTTAAAAAAAAGACTGTCAAATCTAATTCCTGTGCACACATAACATGTATTATCAATCTGGCACTGAAATTAATATAAACATGCTTTTGCAAACTTGTGAATTAGAAGCTGTTCATATATTAAGCCTTCTCATAAACAGTCTTAATAAAATGAATAGTATCTTTATTGCTGATGAATTACTTGTCTTGAAAAAAAAAGAAATAAAAATAAAATATTTTTTGAATAAAATACTCTGGTGTTATTTCATTAGGAAAATGTATTTTTAATTACTCAAGGTCCACACACATACACACACATGCACACACACATTCTTATTGACAGTAACCAAGTAATGGAAAGACAATGAAAATAATGTATATTTAAAAACATTTCAAGTGTTGGAAATATATAGCTGAACTGCTCAACACATAATAATTTTACAAAAATTCCATTTTTGTAAAATTAAAATGTTAAACTTTTAAAATAAGGTAAAGTTTATTTTTAAAGTTTCAAAAAAATGAAACAAAGATTAGATAGAAAATTGGTGAAATTTCAATTATCACCAAGCAAATTATTAGTTGTAAATTGTCAATTTTTCTTTTCCTTCTTCAGTATTGCCTCCTATATATGTTGTATGCCTGAAAAAAAAAATCTTAAAAATGTAAGAAATTTTTAACTGGTTTGCTTATTTTTTCAAAATAGTTTATATACGTGCAGCAGGAAATTTTAAAAAGTTTAAATATAAACACATCTTTCCATAAGAAAAAAAAGTGTTAACATTTCCCTTGATATTTGAAATAATTTAGCCAATTTTGCAATCATATATTTTAGTATTTATTTTAAATGTCACCATGAAAATGTTAATTTTGATATTTTACTTATTATATGTAATATCTTGGGATACATATTTTTAGTTCTAGAAGATGAGTAACTTAGAAATAAAATCCATGTATTTTAATTTTATACTTATAACTACCAAGTTATTTCTAACCTCAAAATTCAGGTACTTTATACTACATTATACTGTGAAAACTGTGCTTGTAATAATGGTCTTGGCCTTCAATTTTTTAGAATTTTATTTGCAAATCATTGACTCGAATGGTTTTAGCAAATAAAAATACAATAAACATGGCTTCAAGCTTTTATACCAAGTCTGACATCTAATGATAAATATTAATCTAAAACTTTCCTTATTTTTTTCAGAATGTTTTGCAGCCAAATGGATTTTTTTGAAAACCATTATTTTATACATTGATTCAAGCAAAAAATCACCTTTCATATACCCCTTCAGTTTCCATATACACTCCATAACCTCCAATATGATCGTCTTATACTATTTATGCAGATTCCATTTTTTTTTTTTTTACTATCATGTCATGGAAACAATATTTTGGTCTTTAATTTTCATTTTCTCAATAAAGTTTTCTTAGATAATTTCTTGAATTCTGAAATTAGAGAAGCTAATTCAAATGTATGATGAGTTAAGAACATCATAAATCCATACCTTTCATTTCTATTTTTATTTTTTGTACGGATATTTAGCAATGGTAATTTTGAGACAATATTTTCACCTTCATTTTATAATCCAGCAAGATGATATTAATGGATTGAGTGCAGAGAAACATAATGAAGAATGGTAACATTTCCACTTGATAGAAAGCTAATTTTAATAAGTTCTAAATTAATGATATTTGATTAAAAAATTTCCAGTGATTATTTTGAGTTTGTCCATATAAATTTGAGACTAGCTCTATGATTATATAAACATTAATCTGATTCAAAATGTTTCTGTATAGCATTAGATTTACTGGTCAAAAGGTAGTTCAATAGTAGGAGGAATCTACCTCAGTATACTGAAACTGAGTATAATTAATGAAACCAAAAGATAATTTGTGAATAAATTGTTTTTTCTACCTTGAAATTAAGTGACGATTTACATGGCCTTTCCAACTCGGTGGAATAAGTGAACTCCAATTATAGTACAACTTCAGTTGAAATTATTCTTGGCCTCACAGCTGCTCTCATATGGTATGTGTTATTTAATTTTTTTTCATAAATGATGATTGATGATATAGCAAAAAACAAAAAATCTAAGCATTTAATTTAAAAAAGATAATGGGACATCATCAAACCAATGAATAGTATAATTTTATATAAAAATGTTAATTGTTTAGTTTAAATTTTAGCTCAAGAGTAGAATTGGAAGATTCAAGAAAGATAACAGAGTAGGAAACACAGGAATCTGTCTCCCCACCTAGACGACTGCAGTGGCCCAATCTATCTGATAAAACTCTTTTGGAACTATAGAGTCTTGTACAGGTTTGAAACTTCCGGGAATAGTCTTGGATGGTAAATTACAATTAATTTTGGTCAAGTTTAGGTTTTAGTACAGGAGCAGCTAACCATCCCTCATCTTCAGCACCATGACAGGCAGCCATACCTGTGTTCCATGAGAAGCTCATATGTAGCTTACAGAAGCCAGGATATATCAAAAGCATGCTGTTCTCAAAATATTAGAGACAGGTGTGCAGATTCCAAATTGCTCTTTCCAATCTCAGAAGGGTAGACAAAAAGTTCGGTGGCTATTTTTGTTGTACCCTACCCCTTTTTTGTAAGCCTCTGCACCTCTGCCTGAAGTAACTTCCAGAGGATTTAAAGAGCTAGTGTTTTTCCCTATCCTCCATTAATGTTTATCTCTGTACCTTTTGGGAGCCAGACAATAAACATGAGAACATTCAAAAGTAACTACATATGTGAAGAAAATAAGAAAGATCTCACATGCCCAAGGACTAGTGCAGGCTCAGGGAAGATATGAGAAGACCTGAAGTTTACACCTCAGACTACTCTTCAGCATAAAGACAGCCTACAATAATGAAAAAGACAAAACAAATACACAAAAAAGAGCAATCCCTGGGAAAGACGGACAAGCTAACTTTCAGAGTTACTATCACCAAGTTGTTAGATTTAAATGCTCAGTTTTTTACAAAAATTTATAAGACACACAAAGGAACAGAAAAGGTCAGTCTATCCAAAAGAAATAAATACATCAGCAAAAACTGATTTTGTAAAAGAACTTATAGGAAGACTTTAAAACAACACTCTTAAAAATGCTTAAAAACTAAAGAATGTTATGAAGAAAGTCAGGAAAACAACGTATGAACAAATGGAAATATCAAGAAACGGATGGAAAACTTAAAAATAAACCAAAAAAGTAATTCTGGAATGAAAATAGAGTAACTAAAATGAAAGAACTACAAAAAGGTTGGAAGCCAGATTTGAGCTGGTAGAAGAATAAATCACCAAACTTGAAGACGGGACAATCAATAAGCCAAAGGGGTGAATATAAAATTATTAAAAAAGCAAAGCTATGTTTGTTATTGAAGTTGAGTTGGTAGATAAATTTAGTATGTTAAATTTAACTCCCATTTTAAGCACAGAAACCTATAACATATATACAAAAGTAAATGAGAAAAAAGTTTAAACATTTCACTAGAAAAAATCAACTAAACACAAAAGAATACAGTAATTTAGAAAAAGAGAGCATAAAGAAAACAAACATAAAATAAATAAATAAATAAAAAAGAACCCTGTATGATCAAAAGAAAAAAAAAAGAAAACAAACAAATGACAAAGGTAAGTCCTTCCATCTCCGTAATTACTTAAATAAATATAAATGAATTAAACTATCTAATAAGAAGTCTGAAATTGGAACAATAAATTAAAAAATTATGAACCAAAAATATGTTGTCTCCAAGAGATTCACTTTAAATGCAAAGACAAAAGTAGATTGAAAATGCAAGGATGGAAAAAGGTTTTTTTTTTCTAATAGTAGCCGAAAGGGGGCAGGAGTGGCCATACTAATATCAGAAAAAAAAAAGACTTTAAAAAGAAATTTACAGGAGATAAAAAAGATCTTTCATTTTATATTAATGAAAGATCCAATAAAGCAAGACGATATAACAATTATAACATTTATGCATTGAATCACAGACTATTAAATATATAAAGCAAAAACTGACAGAACTAAAGAGAGGAATGGACAATTCTACAATAGCAGTTGGATACTTCAATACTCCATTCACAATAATGTATAGAATAATCAGATAAGTAACAAAATAGAGGATTTAAACAAAGCAATAAAACAAACTTGACACAACAGATATACACAGAACATGCCACCCAATAATAATAATATAAACATTTTTCTGAAATACACATGGGGCATTTTTCAGAACACACCATACATTATACCATAAATTTAGTCTCAATATATTTTACAAGATAGATAGGACACAAAGTATCTTCTCTGATCACAATAGGATAAAGTTAGAAGTAAAAACTGGAAAATTCACAAATTTATGGAAATTAAGCAATACACTTGAACAACCAAGTAACAAATGGATTAGAGGAGTAATCATAAGGAAATCAGAAAAACTTAGAAACGAATAAAAAATAATTTTAAAAGTCAAAACTTATGCAATGCAGCAAAAGCAACCCTAAGGGGAAAATTTATATCTATAAACATTTACATTAAAAAATCAGCAACGTCTCAAATCAAACACTTAAGAAGTTAGAACAATAAGAATAAACAAAACCCCAAACTAGAAGAAGAAAAAAAAGAATAAAAATTTAGAAAAGAGATAACAAAAATAGAGAAGAGAAGAAACAATTTAAAAAATCAATGAAACCAAAATTTGGTTCTCTGAATGAATCAAAAAGACTGACAAACCTTCACTTAGATGGAAAAAGTAAAAATACAGAGAAGATGCAAATTATTAAAAGTATTATTTAAAATTATCATAGTGAAGATGTTACTACTGTTTCAAAAGAAATACAAATATTATGAGAGCACTATGACAAATTATATGTCAATAAAATCATAAGCTAAATGAAGTGGACAAATTCCTGGAAACACAAAACCTACGAAGAATACATTGCAAAGAAATAAACAATCTAAATAGACCTATAACTAGTAATGAGATTGCATCAGCGATCAAAAATCTCCTTACAAAGAAAAGGAAAATCCTACTGTGCCTGATGGATTCATTTTTAAATTCTACCAAGTATTACTACTACTACTAATGATAATAATAAACTAACACCAATTATTGTAAGAAATCGAAAAAAAAAAACTGAAGAAGAGAGAACATTTCTTACCTACTATGTGAGGCCAGGATTCTCATGATACCAAAGTCAAAGATACTACAAAAAATGAAAACCACATACCAGCATTCCCTGTGGGATTTGTTGAAAAAATCTTCAACAAAATACCAGCAAAGCTAACTCAGCAGCCTTCTAAAATATCCATACATCATCACTGTGATGGTTAGTACTAGGTGTCAACTTGGTGGATTGGGGGATGTCTAGAAGGCTAGTAAAGTATTGTTTCTGAGTGTGTTTGTGAGAGTGCTGCCAGAGAGGATAGAAATTTGAGTAGTGAACTGGGAAAGAAAGACCTACCCTTAATTTGGGTGGGTACCATCCAATCAGGTGCCAATATGGCTAGAACACAGCAGGTGGAAGTGGGGATAAGCTTGTTTGCCAAGTCTTCTGGTTCTCTCTGTCTTCCCATGCCACACACTGGCTTCCTCTCCTTCTGCCCTTGGGCATTGAAATCCAGTTTCTTCAGCATTTGAACTCTGGAACTTGTATCAGCAGCCTCCAGGGAGCTCTTGGTCCTTTGGCTTCTAAGGGCTGCACTGTCACCTTCCCTCTTTTTGAGGCTCTGGGACTGGATTGAGCCATGCTACTGGCTTCTCTCTTTTCTGAGCTTGCAGAAAGCCTATCGTGGGACGTTGCCTTGTAATCATGTGAGCCAATTCTCCCTAATAAACTTATATATTATAATATATAAGAATGTATATATATTATATATGTATTATATATTATATATGTATTATTATATATTATAATATATAAGAATGTATATATATTATATATGTATTATATATTATATATGTATTATTATATATTATATATTTATTATTATATATTATATATAAAACATATGACATATAATATATGTTATATGTTATACAAGGTATATATAATACATATCATATGTAAGATATATATATCCTATAAGATATATATATCCTATTGGTCCTATCTCTCTGAAGAACCCTGATTAATATAATCACCAAGGGGAATTTATTGTAATAAAAAGGCAGTTGAATATACAATAATTAACCAGTGCACTACAAGAAATTCACAAATTATGGGGGGAAAAGCAAAGTCTATAATTACTGCAATAGATGTAGAAAAAGCTTTTGACAAGATTTACTACCCTAATCAATACACTTAACAGACTAGGAATGGAAGGAACCTATCTCAACATAATAAAAGCTATATATAAAAACTCAGCAAACATCGTATCCAATTGTTAAGGATTGAAAGTTTTTTCTTTAAGATAAAGGAACAAGGCAATGGTACCCACTTTTGTCACCTTTATTCAGTACAGTACTGGACACATGAGCAAAAAGAACTAGGCAAACAACTAGGCAAGAAGAAAAAATAAAAGGCATCCAAATTGGAAGGAAGAAGTCAAATCATTTCTCTTCACAGACGGTATGATCTTATATGTGGAAATCCTTAAAGAAACCGTGAGAACTAGTATATTAATTTTAGCAAAGTTTCAAATGGAAAGTCATCACACAATTTTCACTTTCTTTTCTATACACTAACAATGAAAGATTTGAAAAAAATACATTAAAAAAATCTCATTTACATTAGCCCCCAAATAAAATACCTAGAAATTAATCAAGAAGGTAAAAGTTTCATACAATAAAAACTACAAAGCATTGCTCTAAGAAATAAATAAATGGAAAGTTATCTTTATGAATTGTAATACTTAAATCTGCTAAGACATCAATACTACCCAAAACAGATTAAATATGATCTTTGCCAAATTCCCAATAATTTTCTGCAGAAAAAAAATTCTAAAATAAATATGCACTCTCAGTGGACCACAAATAGCCAAAGCAATCTTGAAAAAGAAGAGCAAAGCTGGAGGACTTATACTTTCTGATATCAAAAGTCACTATAAAATTACAATAATCAAAACAGTGTGGTACTGGCATAAAGACCTACATACAGACTGATGAAATAGAATAGAAAACCCATAAATAAACCATCACATATATTATTATTTTGACAAAGGTGTCAAAATGTGAAAAGGACAGTCTTTTTAACAAATGGAACTGGGAAAATTGGATATCCACATGCAAAAAGGACGTAGACCCTTACTTAACACCCTGTAAAAAGTTAATTCAACATGGATCAAAGACCTAAATGTAAGACTTAAAATTATAAAGGTCTTAGAAGTAAACATAGGTCAAAAGTTTCACAACATTAAATTTAGAATTTATTTCTTAGCTATAACCAGAGGCACAGGTAACCAAAGGAAAAATAGACAAATTGTAATTAATAAAAAAGTGCATTAAAATACAATAGCAATAGAATAAAAATGCAACCAAAATAATGGGAGAAAATATTTGCCATTCATAAATCTGATAAGAGATTAATATCCAGAATACATAAAGAACTCCTAAACTCAATAAAAACAACAAAAGAAAAAAACTCCTTTAGAACACAAGCAACGTACATACAAATGTTTCCAAAAAGATATACAAATGCCCAATAAGCACTTAAAAAGATGCTCAATATCAGTAATCATTAGGAAAATTCAAGCCAAAACTACACTCAGTAGTTAGTTATAGTTATTTATATGACTATCAAAAATAAACAACAGCATTATCAAAGATGTGGAGAATTTTGAATCTTTCTGCACATTTTTGGGAATGTAAAATAATACAGCTGATGTGGAAAACTGTATGTTGATTTATCAAAAAATTAAAAATAGGAATAACATATGATCCAGCAATTGTACTTCAGGATGTATCCCTAAAAGAATTAAAAAGAGAGTCTCCAAGGTATATTTGTATACCAGTGTTCATGGCAGCATTAGTCAGAATAGTAAAAGTGTGGAATCAACCCAAAGTCTATCAACAAATAAGTGGATAAGTAAATTATGACATATACATAAAATAAAACTTTCAGACTTTCAAAAGGAAGGAAATTCAGACACATGATACAACATGGATGAACCTTGAAGAAATTATGCTAAGTGAAATAAACTAGTCAAATAATTACAAATACTCTATGATTTCACTTATGTCTGTGGAATATAGAATATATAGCAAAGTCCTAACTACAGAAAGTAAATGGTGGTTGCTGGGGGCTAAGTGGAGATGGTCATGGGCAAGTGATGTTTAATGGATATAGAGTTTTATTTTAAAAGATAAAAAGTTTATGGAGATGGATAGTGATGATGGTTGCACATTATGCATATATTTACTGAACAGGACACTGAACCACTAAACAGTACATTTAATAGTGGTTAAGATAGTAAATTTTGTGTTATGTGTATGTTACCCACACAAAAACGAATGAGAAAAAAAAACAGTAAAATGAAAGCTGATTTTTTATCCTGCAAAAGATGCAAGCCTGAGTTACTTTTCAAGTGAAACAATGTCAATTTCTACAGTGGATGGAAGTTTTTCGAGTTTAAAGGAAATATGTTTACACAACCTTCCTGGCGTCCTTTATAATTAAAACATACAAATGTTGTAGTGTGTGACTGTGCAGTCTAAAAATGCAACAGTTCTTTTTCTAATAAATTGACATTTAATAACCAAAGCTTTATGCTGTATGAATAATAAATTAAAACTTTCATTTATGCTTTATATTTTCCCTGGTGGAGGACAATTTGTATTCATCAAATAAGTCTAAAGTTCAGCGCCTTCCCTTTCAATAATATTTATTCATGGTGTTTCCTGCTAAAATATATATTTGCCCTAGAAGGGTGTATTATAATCTTTATTTAATTGATATGAGCCCAAGAAGGGTATTAAGATATTAGAATATCTAATGTATTCAATAAAATACAGACAATGGAATCATATTTCTTTTTTTGTTTGTTTTGCCAAACAATTTCAAAGAACATGAAAGAAGGAAAATGAAAAACATCTATTAAACAAATATGGCTTTGTTGAAGCACAACACAGGTATAGCTTTACTTATAAAATTATTTAACAATACATTTGAGGAGATGGTTGATTATCTCATTAATATGCCAATGCTCTTGTAGCTTTGTATTAGGTAGGTGCAAAATAATAGCGGTTTTTGCCATTTAAAATCAATGACAAAACCTGCAATTACTTCTGTACCAACCTAACACTTGGCAATAGCCACAGCAATTTTGGAAGTTCGGAACTTCTTGGGACTTCTTTTCTGTAGCAGGGTAAATTCAACTTTTCTTCAAAATCTTGCATGAAACAAGAGCAAATTTGAGAATAGGGCCAGAGTAGAGTGGCATATAGATTGAGAAATTAATTATGGGTAAAGTGAGAAAATATTATATGAAAATAAGTGTGTTGCAGCTCCCTTTCTTTTTTAATTAATTCGGGATGTAAATATTTCATAATTTAAGTAGGAACAACATGAGCACAGAGAAAAGGACGATTGAATTTGAAGAGAAAAGGGAAAAGGAATTGTCCAAGTTTCTACATAATCTAATTCTGTTCACCAGGAAGGTAGCAATAAATATATTTTGAACAGAATTATTTGTACTTTGTTCATCTTTTTACAGAATTCTTTACATGCAGTAATAAATGACTAAATAAAGGCATGAAGAAATTGACATATAAAGGAATGAAGGAAAGACCAAAACAACAGTTCACCATATCGATCGAGTTCCACTGCTGGCAGTGAACAAATCTTAATATTGTAATGCACACTTACCTAAGTAAAATTTTACAAAAATCATCAATCAGCAGGTGGTATGACACAAATTTTAAAATAATTCAAGATTTTTCTGAAATGTTTCCAGCAATCTTCTGCAGGTGTTCTTAATAGAGAAAGTGTACCCATCTGTGAATGTTTACACACAAAAAGCATATAAACAGAGCTGTAGATTCAAAAACAGCCCAACTTTCAGCAGGCTCCTATTGTGTGCATAAACATATTAGATTAATTCTATTTATAGTAGTTTCTTGCTGTATTTATCATGAAAAAAACAATGAGACAGATATGGACACAGCTGTCTGTGATTTAGCATTCAAGTTACTTGGACCAAGTGATTAGCTACTACATACTTTTCTTAAAAAAAAGATTTTTATCAAAGTTATTGACAACAAAAAGCTTGCCTTTCATTCATGAAAACCAAAACTGAATGCTGCGGTAACAGTGGCAATTTCTTTAGTGAAAAAATTGCTATGATACTGATTAAGGCCCAGAGATGAATCTGTAGGTTACATAAAATATATAGAGGAGACAGAGAATTAAGCCTTAGAAAATATTTCATTTGCATGGTTCTCATCTCTGTGTTCCCATTAAAGCCATCAGTGCAGATTTTAACCTCTGCCAGCACTGAGTCTATTAATTAAATTAACCATCTGGGATAAAGGTAGGGCATAAGTCATTATTCATTTAATTTAGTTTAATTAATTAGTAAGTACATTTTTACATCTCTCCAGGTAATTTTAATGTTCAGTCAGAGTTGAGAAGTCCTGCTCTATATAAAAAATTTGCAAATTATTTTGAGAGAAATATAAAGTGTATTAAATACCAAACATAAGCATTTTAAGAAAAATAAACAAGGGACTCCAAATTTAATATAAAGTTTAAGGAAGAACAAAAATATTCTAGAAAGATATCAAATTAGATATGTTTTAATTAAAGTATAGATTTTAACAAGAAGAAAATTTTTATCTAAGGAGGGTAAAATAAGTGTGTTTGAAATCCCAGAGCAAGCCAAGATTAATGGCTTGAGGAGGTGAAAGAGAGTAATTTTAGAGAAGAAAAAAAGAATAAATAAAACTATCTATAATGTATTTATAAATTATGTTGCAAATGTAGTCAATAACAATCATAAAATAAAATATTTAGTGGTGTTGTCCATGTTTCTATTTGCCTCTTAGCCAGAATGTTAGCAGAGTTGATAGGATTTTTAAAGCTCTCAACTGACCTGTCCTGTAGGATTCATGGATCCACCTAAACTACCCCTGTCTTCTAGCCAACCTATAGTCTTATTTCCACCTACCCATACTCCCCTACTCCTCCATATCTGTTGCTGGATATGTCCTGCTGTGTAATTCCTCTGACTTCCCATGATAACATTACTTTTCTCCTTAATAATATGACAATGAAACTCCCAACATTAATGAAAGTATTATCGTTTGATATCTCTGATTGCTATTTGTCAGAAATTTCACCTGTGATTCATAAGCCATACAGGCTCTTGTTAATCGAAGTGTGGCCCAAGGAACAGAAACATTGACATCACCTAGTGACTTGCAAGTATTGCAATATCGTAAGTACTACATCTGATCTACTGAATTAGAAACTTTAAAATAAGGTTTTAAGTTCATTTATACGCAAATTATAACTGGTGTACTTTGATATAGAATATTTGTGTTGAGTCTTGCTGTAAAACCAAATTTACTATTACGTTAGATTATCAGGCTAAAGTATTTTGCTCTATATACGCTTCTCAAGAAAATTCCCCCTACTTTGCCATTCATTCATATATTTCAGACACCACTCCTCCTATTTACTTGTTCTCCCAACTCAACATTGTGAGTTTGAACTTCAGCTCTTAATGCCAATCTTGCATCTGTCTGTCATCATCACTGCCTGAAACAGTAGACCAAGTTTAAACAAACACCGAATCCCACAAGATCACCCTTAAAGACTTTATTTCAATTTTGTGAAGTATAAATATCCATAAGTTTGAGAAAAGTCACTCTAAATCCACCATGCTTGACTTTCCTTTGTAATATATTACTGACTACTTTTCTTTCAAATAATTTTTAATATTTTTATTTATATGTTCTTAGTGATTTCTGTTTTCTTTTCTATACTCTCTTTCTCTCCCCAAATCATGGACTTATATCTCTCTTAACATTGTGCTAATTACAGAACTCTTATATACTCAATCCTCTATCAATGTCCTCTCCAATTGCATACCTTAACTGAACTGTGGCCCACTTCCCTGAAATTTTCTTTCCCTACAGCATTCTTAAGGTGAAGATGGTTATTTTACAGTATCTCACATACATCAGGGTCATGTGGTCGTGTCTTCTTTCTTCTCAATGAAAATATCAGATCAATCCTGCTCTGTCTTCTTAAAACTAACACTACTCCCTTGAGACAGATACAATTCTGGTTGTATGACTATATTTCCATACCCTTCTTATCTATTCATTTCTTTAAAACCTCACTTCAGTGAAAAGTTTGGAATTTGACCTAATCTTGCTTTTCAATCGCATGACCTACTATTATCTAGAATGACTCAAATAGCAGCAAAGACAATCTACACAGTATCAAATCCACTTCATTTCCTTTCTTTCTGAACTCCAAAAATCTTCCCAAGTAGAACTCCCTACAAACTCACTTATTCATGTCCTGAATTTGGATATAGGGTTTCCCACTCTCAAACTTAATATTTTATCCTTTTTGGTTTCTTACTCAGATAGAAAACAACTGTTGTGACTTCAACAATATCTCAATACAGTTCAGGCATCTACCTTGTGCATTCTAATCATCCCTTCCTCTCCTCACTCTCCTTGTAAAGCTCAGTTACAAGTTCCACGTTTTAAACACCTTCCCTTACTAACATCTGTTATGCCTTGAATTCAGTAGTTTATAAATCATTTGCATAAGGATCATATGTAAAATTGCAGAACTGAATGAAAATAGAAAAATAGATTTGAGATAGGCAGGCTATCTTGTTTTCTCTTTTAATGTGGTTTGGAGAAAAAGAACAAAAGCCTCTACTTAAGCTGTGGCTGACCTAACTTCCAGCCAATCACCAACAAAAGACTCAAGAAGCCACTAACCACAAGTTCCTCCTTTCAGGGGGCTGCGGACTTCCTCAGGGACCCTTTTATGTGCAGTTAGATTCATATTTCAAATTATAATTAGGCCTTCCTCATTTTAATGCTAAAAATTATGCCACAAGATGAAGATTTAAAACGCTAATGATACACGCAATGTATGTAGAAGCAAACTGAGCCACTGCGTAAATGCTAGAAAAAGCCTTCCTATACATGCCCTGACATCATCCGTCCCCATAGGAGAGCCCCGTAAAATTGAATCCCGCACAGCTTTCAGGAAGCAGCCCCAATTGTTCCCTTTTTTTTGTGCTGGCTCCCTTGTGCACAAGTTAAATAAACTTTCTTCTCGTTGCTACGTCTCGCAATCTCTCTTATTTATATCCTGGAAGATTACAAGAACCTAGGGCACTGGCAAAAAGTTGAAACTATCTTGAGTTACCTCCTGCAGTTATCTCAATCAACATGGCTTACAAGTAGAGCTAGATGCTCTAATAGTTAATATGCAAAATTTTATACCTGAATCTGTCCAGGTTTAAAAAACTCTGAACAAGTTTGTGAAAATTTTGATTTGTACATTTTATAGAATACACAGCATACACAAATGCAGTCTCTGAAAACAGGTAAATCAAGAAAAAAGATAGATAAGTTCATAAAAGTAATTAATAGGTTATGATCACTCCACTCCTCTGTCTTTCCACCATGGTCCCAGAGAAGTTTTTTTTTTTTTTTTTTTTTCCTCACAAAAAAATGGTATTCTTCTTCAGGGAAAACATGTTTGCAAACTATTGACTGAACTTTATTGCACTGCTTTATTATTAAGCCTGTTGTTGTTTTAATACTAAGGGAGAGAGTTGGTCTCATAACATTACTCAACTTGAAAGGAAGTGCTAATCACAGCAACCAACTAGTACAGCTTCACAGAAGGCTTAAAATTTTAGTAAGTGCTTTTACTCAACAACAATGTACACCAGAGAAAAGAAAGTCCTTAGTGGTCCTTCTATGCAAAACCCATATCTGAAGTAGGAACTTATTTTAGAGTTACTCAGAAGAGATTTGAGCTTAATAAATATTGTCACAACTGATTTATTCTACTTAGCTAATTCATGTCACTAAATTATTGATATAGAAAAGTCTTACTAATGAGTAAAAACATTATCTCTGAATTATTGTGTATTTTAACCCCAAATGTTATCACTATCTCAAAATATAACTGAAATATAAGTTTCAGTTTCCTTGTACTATTTCAGTTTCCTATTTATTAATGAGCTGCAGGACATTTTTAAATTTGAGAATGCTTAGCTTGCGATAATATGAAAAATATGACATATAATATGCAAATCCAGACAAACATGCACAAAATGTGCTCGATAATTTCATTCAAAAGAAACTAGAGATAAAATATAATAGCTTATTTCTCAAAAGAACAATTAGAGAATAAATACAGATTAAAATCCACACACTAACATCCCAGGGACTAAAACTATAGATGGCAGTGTAGTTCTGCCAAGAGCGTGGGTGTTTACATTACGTTGAAATTCATTTCCTGTTGATGGATTTAAGAAAATTATTATATCAGTTAATAAAACTTCTGTTAAATAGGGTCAAAAAAGAATGATTTATGCATAATACTCAGCATACCCAGAGTATTATTTAGAATCTCTTTTCACATCAATGAATTCAAAGAAATTTTATGTGTCATTATTAATTTATTTACCATTGTGCTTCTCATCAATTTATCCTGGTTAACATAATGCCCTAAAGGGAAATATAATAGGATATATATTTCATGCAGTTAGGAATACCATATAGTGTAAAAACTATGTTTAAAATATAACAGAGTACACTGGGTATGATGGTGCGTGAGTGTAATCCCAGCTCTTGGGAAGGCTGAAGCAGTAGGCTCCCTGGAGCCCAATATTTCAAGACCAGCCTGGGACAGAGTGAGACCCCATCTCTAAAATATTATATATATAAAAATTGTATATATACATAATTATAATTAAGTAGGAAACATTAAATTAGATATATCTTTATTTTTAAATAGTATCTTTATTTTATAAATATATAAATAATACACATACATATAAATACATATGTACACACACATACATAAAGACACATAAACTCATTTAAAAATATAGGTGATATGTCTAATTTAATAATAATTTAAAAATATCTTAAATATTTTAAGACTTCTGAGGAATAATTATTATAAAAGAGTGAATTTTACCTCCAAATATCTAAAGTAGAAAGTTCTTTACGTTAAAGAAAAGTATTGAAGTTTTTGTTTTGCTTCATCTCTCTCTTTCTGTCATTATTGTCCTAATATACAGAAACCAATGTGAAAGTAAAATAAAATAACAAATTTGTTACTCAATATGATTGATTTTGTTTTATGAATAGCCTGAAGTAAACACTATTATGAAGAAATTGGCCTTGGACGTTATAATTTCAATGAAGTAAACATTCCTGATTTACATTCTCTTAATATGAAAACGACAATCCATAGGAAAAAAATAAGATATATCTTCAGCCTTGTAAGCTTTGTTTTTAAAGTGACAGTGTACCAAGATTTTCTGTCACTAAATAATTCAGACACTTTTGTGTGTCTGAATTGAGAAACCTATTTCTTGGCTTAATATTCATATTTACATTATTAACCAATGCTTAGCCCTGAAAAAAAAAACAGATAGGCATTTCCAAATAATCTAGTTGAAAGCTTTATCTCATTGGTACTCTCAGTCCACTCAAAAGTATAACATAAAATGTAAAATTACAGAGTTGTAAGAATCAGAAGCAAGTACTCACCTGGACTACCCTAAGATTTTCATTTCTCTATGTCCATCCAAAAGAGCATAGCTCTTAAAAAATAATGCAACTGCAAAATATGATTTAAAATATCTCCAAATATGCCCAGTTGCCTTTGACAAAGCTTTAAAAATTGTTTTGTACATAGAATATCAGAGCAACACATGCTGAAAGACATGGTTCTTCATGCATCACATAAAACAAAAACTTTAAACTCTATCTGAGATCAATTTACTTGAGGATAGTACAAATCATTAGAAGCATAGATGGTCGAGAATGAATTCCAAAGATTCCAATAGATATAATCATATCAGCTGTGGAAAACTGAAGTAAAAGTTGAACCGATAAGCCTGAATATTGTTCTATGAGTTTTGAAAATGCAAGTGATATGGAGGATAAACTGGAAAAGATGAAAATGATGGCCAGGGGCTCATTTTGTCATAAGGATAGTTTTGGCAATCTTGATTGCCAAAATAAGAAAATAGGAAGTGAGTAGATAGGGTGGTTTACACAGGAGTGTGTGGCAGAATAATTGAATGGGCTAAAGACAAGCAGAAAGGAAAACGTAAAAATGACAGTTAATATATAACTCTTCATACTTATAGGGTTCTTATAATATTTTGATACATGCATACAATGTTAATAATCAAAACAGGGTAATTAGAATATCCATTGCCTCAAACATTTATTATTTCTTTGTGTTCTCATTCTAAATCTTCTAGCTATCTTTAAAATCTACTATAATTGCTGTTAACTATTGTCACCCTACTGTGCTATGGAACACTAGAATTTATTCTTTCCATCTAACTGTATATTTTTTACACACTAACCCACCTCTCTCTATCTTCCCCTTTCTCATATCCTTTTCAACATCTGGTAACTATCATTCTACTCTCCGACGCCTTGAAAGAAACTTTTTAAGCTCCCTCATATGAGTTAGTACATGTAATATTTGTTTTTCTGTGCCTGAATTATTTCACTTAACATAATGTCCTCCAGGCTCATCCATGTTGATGCAAAGAACAGAATTTTGTTTTTTTATAGCTAAATAATATTGCAGTGTGTATATATACAACATTTTTGTACCTATCTGTTGAAGGATACTTACGTTGATTCCATATTTTGGCTACTATGAATAGTGCTGCAACGAACATAAGAATGCAGATATTTCTTTGACAAAGTTATTTTATTTCTTTTGCATTTATTCCCAACAGTAGAATTTCTGGATCATATGACATTTTAATTTAAGTTTGTTGAGGAGTACTCCAAACTATTTTCCAAAAAGACTTAAATGTAAGTCCTTAAACTATGAAACTACTGGAAGAAAACTTTGAGGAAACACTTCAAGACATTGGTCTGCACAAACATTCTTTGTGGTAAGACCTCAAAAGCCCAAGCCACAAAAGCAAACATAGACAAATAGGATTAGATTAAACCAAAAACCTTCTGCACAGTGAAGGAAACAATAAAGAGAGTAAAAAGCAACCTACAGAATGGGAGAAAATATTTGCAGATTACATATCTAACAAGGTACTAATAACCAGAATATATAAAAAACTCAACACAAAAGAATAATCTAAAACCATGGGCAAATGATCTGAATAAAAAATTCTCAAAAAATATATGGACAAATGGCCAAGAGGTATATAAAATATCCTCAACATTACTGTTTGTCAAGGAAATGAATATCAAAACTGCAATGAGATATCGCCTCAACCCAGTTAAAATGGTTGTTATCAAAAAGAAAAAAAATAGCCAATACTGGCAAGGATGCAAAAAATAGGGAAAATGCGTTTAAAAACATAGTGAGTCATATATTACTTTGCTTGGGTTGCCATAAGAGAATATCCACAAACTGGGCATAAATGACAGAAATTTGTTTTTGAAGTTATGAAGGACAGAAGTCCAAGATCAATGTATCTGCATAGCTGTTTCCTTCTGAGGGCTGTGAGGAACAATGAGTTTTATGCCTCATCCCTAGCTTCTGGTGGTTTGCTGGCAAAATCTAGCATTTATGGAATAGTAGAATCATCACCCAACCTCTGCCTTCATCTTTGATAATTTTCTCCTTATGTGCATCTGTGTCCAAATTTTTTCTTTTTATAAGGACAACAATCACACTGGATTAGGGACCCAACCCACTCCAGTGTAGCCTCATCCTAGCTAATTTTATCTACAATGACCTTATTTTCAAATAAGGTTACTTTCTTAGGTGCCAAGGGATAAGACATCAATATATGAGTTTTAAGTTGACACAATTCAACTCATACCCATTGGTAAGAAAATAAATAAACCTGTGAGGTGTCATTTGAGGTAAATTTTTTCATATACATTTATGAAATGAACAAAACTATGGAATAAAACCCCACATAACTCTAAAATTCCTTTATTACAAAGCACAGAAAAATGGGTTAAATAAAAAAATTTAGTTTGTGCTAGCTTTAAGAGACATCTAAAAAGGATTGAACAAGAGTTGAAAATTAAGGAATGGAAAATGATACAGAAAGCAAATGAGATTATCAAGAAAACACGTGTATTAATATTCGTGTCAGATGAAATGGGATTTTAAAAAAGTTTATATTAATAATAGCATGAACAAAAATACTCACATTGATTAAATATACAAATTACCAAGAATCTACTGTAATGATAAACACTTATACATTGAAAAATACAAAATTAAATATATAAAAGTAAAATGGTAAGAAATGACAAATCCAATATAGTAAAATAAAATATTCAAAATATTATCCTTTCAATAGAAAATAAAATACTTAAGTAGAAAACATTATCATTTCAATAGAAAATAAAACACTTAAGTACAAAATATTATCCTTTCAATAGAAAATAAAATACTCAAGCATACTTGAATAACATAAATTGCAAGCTTGATTAAATAAATATAATTGAACTTCACCTAACAATCAGAAAATCAATAATTTTCCTGAAGGCATATGCTATCTTACAGAGAAGAGTCTTCAGAAAAAAATGAGAATGCATTAGCCATCAAATTGAAAGAATGTTATTGGTGTATAAGAATGCTTGTGATTTTTTCACATTGATTTTGTATCCTGAGACTTTGCTGAAGTTGCCTATCAGCTTAAGGAGCTTTTGGGCTGAGACGATGGGGTTTTCTACATATACAATCATGTCGTCTGCAAAAAGGGACAATTAATCAATGTGCAAAAATCACAAGTGTTCTTATACACCAATAACAGACAAACAGACAGCCAAATCATGAGTGAACTCCCATTCACAATTGCTTCAAAGAGAATAAAATACCTAGAAATCCAACTTACAAGGGATGTGAAGGACCTCTTCAAGGAGAACTACAAACCACTGCTCAATGAAATAAAAGAGGATACAAACAAATGGAAGAACATTCCATGCTCATGGGTAGGAAGAATCAATATCGTGAAAGTGGCCATACTGCCCAAGGTAATTTATAGATTCAATGCCGTCCCCATCAAGCTACCAATGACTTTCTTCACAGAATTGGAAAAAAACTACTTTAAAGTTCATATGGAACCAAAAAAGAGCCCACATTGCCTAGTCAATTCTAAGCCAAAAGAACAAAGCTGGAGGCATCATTCTACCTGACTTCAAACTATACTACAAGGCTACAGTAACCAAAACAGCATGATACTGGAACCAAAACAGAGATATAGACCAATGTAACAGAACAGAGCCCTCAGAAATAATGCCGCATATCTACAACTATCTGATCTTTGACAAACCTGACAAAAACAAGAAATGGGGAAAGGATTCCCTATTTAATAAATGGTGCTGGGAGAACTGGCTAGCCATATGTAGAAAGCTGAAACTGGATCCCTTCCTTACACCTTATACAAAAATTAATTCAAGATGGATTAAAGACTTAAATGTCACACCTAAAACCATAAAAACCCTAGAAGAAAACCTAGGCAATACCATTCAGGACATAGGCATGGGCAAGGACTTCATGTCTAAAACACCAAAAGCAATGGCAACAAAAGCCAAAATTGACAAATGGGATCTAATTAAACTCAAGAGCTTCTTCACAGCAAAAGAAACTACCATCAGAGTGAACAGGCAACCTACAGAATGGGAGAAAATTTTTGCAATCTACTCATCTGACAAAGGGCTAATATCCAGAATCTACAATGAACTCAAACAAATTTACAAGAAAAAAACAAACAACCCCATGAAAAAGTGGGCAAAGGATATGAACAGACACTTCTCAAAAGAAGACATTTATGCAGCCAATAGACACATGAAAAAATGCTCATCATCACTGGCCATCAGAGAAATGCAAATCAAAACCACAATGAGATATCATCTCACACCAGTTAGAATGGCGATCATTAAAAAGTCAGGAAACAACAGGTGCTGGAGAGGATGTGGAGAAATAGGAACACTTTTACACTGTTGGTGGGATTGTAAAGTAGTTCAACCATTGTGGAAGTCAGTGTGGCGATTCCTCAGGGATCTAGAACTAGAAATACCATTTGACCCAGCCATCCCATTACTGGGTATATACCCAAAGGATTATAAAACATGCTGCTATAAAGACACATGCACACGTATGTTTATTGCGGCACTACTCACAACAGCAAAGACTTGGAACCAACCCAAATGTCCAACAATGATAGACTGGATTAAGAAAATGTGGCACGTATACACCATGGAATACTATGCAGCCATAAAAAATAATGAGTTCACGTCCTTTGTAGGGACATGGATGAAGCTGGAAACCATCATTCTCAGCAAACTATCGCTAGGACAAAAAACCAAACACCGCATGTTCTCACTCATAGGTGGGAATTGAACAATGAGAATGCATGGACACAAGAAGGAGAACATCACACATTGGGGCTTGTTGTGGGGTGGGGGAAAGGGGGGAGGGATAGCATTAGGAAATATACCTAATGTTAAATGACCAGTTAATGGGTGCAGCACACCAGCATGGCACATGTATACATATGTAACTAACCTGCATGTTGTGCACATGCACCCTAAAACTTAAAGTATAATTAAAAAAAAAAAAAGAAAGAATGAGGGTCATGACATTCAAAGGAATCTGGAGATTCAAGATTTTCAGGTGTATCAATCCAGATCTTACCATCCTGTATCTCATTCTTTTCCAATCTCTGACCTTAAGAGGTCAGGGCTACTTTCATTGTGAGCTTAACTTTTGGAACTTTTCTATACCTGACATTAAGTCCTGCTCCCCTACGTTCTCTTAGGATCCACAGTCATGGATGATATATAAAAGAATCAGGATTGGGCAGAGGGAGAAAAATACAGTCTCAATGAAGCCCTCAGTCATCCCAGCAGAGGACTCTGGCAGTGAAATGGGCCTTTAGAATTATTCAGATATAGGGCAATTCCTGCATTAATCACAATTGCCTCCAAGTCAACTAGGGAAGTAGGTGTAAACTTGGTTCATGCAGAAACACTCCAGAATTTTTAAAAACTGTATACCTCTTTTGTGGTTAGTTGTTTTTAACAAAAGTGATTCAAAATCTATTTTGTGATATCAAAAACTGTCTGCTTACATGAGAAAAGCATCTCAAAATTTCAATAAAATATTAAACATGCATTGAGATAAATGGAAGAATTGTCACATTTTATATAAGCCATTATAAATGTAATTTAAATTACAATATTTATACAATACAAATTTTAAATAGACAAAAGGGGCAACAAAATTATTAATTAATATCTATAACGTTCAAAGTAATTAATGATCTTAGAATTTTTTAAATGAATCAATGAAAATTGAGACCATTTCCAGTTGTGTCACTTATAAAAGTAATGTCAAATTTAGGTTTGGCAGGGAATCAATTCTCACCCTTCTCAACTAACAAATACACAGCACTAAAAGAAGTTTCCCAAGCTCTGCTTTGCTTTTTGTTACTCAGCAGAGATCAATTTCATGGCTATTTTAAGTAGTGTTGTTACTTAAATGATAGAAAATAACTTGGGAAGGCTAAATAACTCATAGCACATAGCTAGCAAAAGTAAACCTTTACATTGACAATTTCCTGGGAAGAAAAGAGAAAGAGGAAAAATAGAATAACAGGTTTATCTTATACTTCATATTTTGGTTGCCCTAAAATGACTAACTTTTAGTATGCAAAGCACATTTAATTTAAAAGTGCAAAAAATAGTCACATTTAATTATTATTTGAAAATTAGATATATTTTATTCACAGGCTTTTATTAAAAATGAACATAATCATGTATTAAAATGCAAACGGAACTCTCATTAAATGCATAAAACTTCTGTCAAAGAGTACATATTATTCAAAATATACTCCTGAATATTTGCTGTTTCCTAATTATTTTTATGCAGTGGGATTTTGTTTAACTAATGTTTAACTTTTTACTGTTTTTCACAGTTCATCCATAATTTTAAATTTTTAAAAATATTACAGTTTTTTTATAGCCAACTAATCTAGCTTAGACTATCTTTCTAATTTTGAAGAAATTATACTTCTGTCTAAATAGCAACATAATCTTTCATAATTGCTATTTGAAAAAAAATTATTTTATTTCCAGAATGTTCTTGCAAGAGAAGCTAACTCTCCTATATTTTGGCATTATATTTATTCTAAGAACTTTTTGTTTTACTGACAATTAATTTTTAAAATGCCCTTTTTGATCTGGTTTTCCAATATTAGTAAATTTTGCAATGCATTTTCAGTTGCTTTTACCTCATAGATTTGTCATACTCCTTAATTTTTGTTTCATATATTATATATAGCCTTATTCTTATGTGAAGGTCTATATCTAGTCCACAGAAATTCTTAAACATTCTCTTTCTGTATATGTTTCTTTAGTCTGTATGATTTTATCTAAAGGTTGCATCATCCTTTTATTCCTGTTGCCCTTTGTAAAATGACTCTAGATAAATTACTAGAGAGTCTGCTTCACTATCTTATTATTTTCTCATCATTTTGGCTTTAGCTACATTAACATTTTTCTTATTCATTTCTTAATTGTATTACCCTTTTCCAAGATCCACATCTTTTAGTAATTATTCAGCTTTGTGTAACAAGGCATATTATTAAACATATGTATAACTAATGCCAGAGAAATCTTGCACAGAGGAATATAGAGACACAAATTAGGATGTTTCTTGCTATATAATTTTTATCAGCAAAAGATTATTGCAGATTACAGTATAGAATTTACAGGGATGTTTTTGATAGGATATTAGGTAGTAATAAAGAAGAAATATTATATGAAAACAGAATACTGAAAACAATTCTGGATCAAAAGTAAACAGTAAATACATTTATATCAAATTGTTCTCTGTAAAATGTTTTATATAGAGATTATTATTTTTTATGTGTGTGTGAAAATATATGTATATGGGGCACAAGTGCAGAGATAACCACATCAAGCGTAATCAAAAAGATAATACATTAAATGCAAAGGAAAGGGTACTGTCAGTAAGAAGAGATTCTTCTAGAGGTAAAAATAAATGTTTAAGAGAAAAATGTTAGACAATAATAATAGTATCTCATAAAGCCCAGGTATTTGTTCAAAGCAATGCTTTGGAATACTAATATGATAAAAGTTCAAAACTACAACTCCTTTTGGCTTCATGCATTTCTTGTGAATCTTTCATTAATAGTATGGTGATTCCTTAGATGTTTCATGATTCCTCCCAAGACTTTCTTCCTCTTCCTTCTTTTCTTATAGGCATTTATTTTGAATTCAAATAAAGTTCTCAATTCTTTTGTTTTCATCTCCTTTTCATTGCAGAAATTTGAAAATCACTCACCTATCCTGCCAAAATGTGCCAAATATTGATATAGTCTTGAAAAGTTTGCATCTTTTCTTAAAACATAAATTATTTTTCTGTTTTAGAGGGAACACAAAATTGTGTCATTAAACATAAAGATTAGATGTTTTCATGGTAGCATATGTAATTATACTGTATCTATGGCTTATCTGAAGGCACTCCTGTTTATCAACTCACATTTTCTCTGCCATAAATGAAAACCATTTGTGAGAAAAAAATCTTATTCCTTCATAATATAATCCGATTTGGCCTAACATTTCAATTTTTATAATACATTTATCTTCTTCTTTTCTTGAATGATTTTAAAACATATTTTAAACAAATTAAAATTAAAATTACATTCACTTAATGTATATTACTTATTTTAATGTGATTCGTAATGAATATTATGTAACATACTTATAGGTACATGCATATGAGTATGCACAACACCATGATTTATATTAGTTATCAAAGGGTTGTAAGTACTATTATTTTTCTATGAAAATTATGTCAGTAAACAGCAAAACTTCCCTTTGAGAAGCCACATATCAGTTTCTTGTTTTATTCCTCAATTTCACTTTTTTAGTCTACCTTAGTTACTGAGGCTAAACTAAAGGTTTTAGCAGGTTATATCTATAGTTTTATATTTAAACATGAAAATAGTATACGCTAAGCTGCTCTGATGTTTATTTATTAAATAGTAATTTTCATTACCCAACCAGAATAGACAATTTATGAAGTATACAGAATCATCTGGAAAATAAACTCATACAAATAATGCACAATTTACTGGTCAACATTGGCTTAACAAAAGATATTATAAAACAAAAAATAAAAATAGTTTTTATAGACTTCTCAGATACAATATTTAAGTATGATGAGAAAGACTAAGTAGTAAAAAGTTGAACCCCTGATGTTAGCCAGTCAATATTATACTTGGTTTAGTCATTTTCTTATAATAACTGGCAAGCTCTTTACTACTTTAAATGCCCAGCACAATCTTATTGTCAAGACATGTTGACATGCAAAGGTAGAAGAGATGTAGACCATGCTTGAATAAGCAAGCTTCTCTAAGTGACACATGCAAGTAAAACATATTGGTTTTAGTCTGCCAGGGCTTTGCAAGAACAAGCAATTAAGCATTCCTAGACTCTTTGCACCTGTGGCAATGCCAGTTCCAAATTCATTAAGCAGGCATCTGTGTCCAGAAAAAGAAGGTCTGTTGATTTTGTATTTGCTAGCATAAAAACCAAAGCTTATTTACACATTGCTACAGGAAATTAAAAAAGAAAAGATTGTCATTCCAAGCAGTTTTAGTTGCTGGTGTTTTGTTGTTGTTGTTGCTTTGTTTTTATTTGTATTTAGTCCCTAGGGAACTTTGTAGCTTTAAATGATCTATAGTGAAACTTATTATTTCTGTATTTTTACTTTGATATAAAATTGACATTAAATATATTGTAATATATTTAAGGTAACTAAATAATAAAATGGTATTATTAATTGGTTACTTTATGTGTTATTTTAGATATTGCTAGAATATTTTTAGGACTGTTACTAAAATGACAACTTTGTTATTTTCCAAGTCAAAGAAAAAAATTAAGAAATTTGTCTTTAGATATTTTAATCCAGATATATTATAGCTGATACTATTATATGACCAATGTATTTTGATATCATGTTTGTACATTTTTTCATAGTAGCCTCAATTTATTCTGCCAACCACAAGGTAAGCCAACCAATGTCAAATAAGCAGCAGCCAAACAGGATTATCTCTCAATGGATTTGCCAAAAATAAAAACTCTTAAAGTTGTGCCCAAAAAAAGATACTATTTCAAAATCAGAGATCCAAATTTTATATCACAGTTGGCTGCAAATCAGCTCAGTTTAAGTCAGGTGTAGATAAATACAGATGACTTTGCTCAATTGATATTGAAAAAAATGTGGTACATTTAAAAATAATTAAAAGAGTATAATTGAGTTGTTTTAACACAAAGCAAAAATGCTTAGGGATGAATATATTCAACTTTTCATAATGTGAATATTATGCATGTATGCCTTTACCAAAATATCTTATGTACCCCATAAATATATATGCCTATGTACCCACAAAAATTAAAAAATAAAAAATGCAAATTTAGAAAATATGATTAAAAAGTGATTGATGCTGATTATTTCAGAAGTTGAGTTGACATAAAAATACCTAGACAAAGTAAAAATATTCAACAGTACTTATGTGTTTTCAAATTAAGAATTATGTATCTGGAGGGTAAGTCAAGAAAAACAAATTTGTATCCTCTCTTTGCACTATATTAAGATTAAATCCAAGACTGAAATCCTTCAAAGTCTTAATAAGAAACAAGGATAAACTGACTTAATCACAAAATAATATAAGCCCAGAAAAATGTGTAAAGAGACGTGTTAAGTAAAATTGTATAAATGAATTTCAGGAGTTAGTTATATGTCTAACAAGTCTATGGAAAACAAATTTCTTAAACATAACTAGGAAAATGTGAGAAAATGTGCAGAATATTACATATCATGTGAACAAGTAATTTCAAAATACATCATACTATATCAGAAGGACACACAGTGATAACTTGATAAAACTAAGAGAAAATGAAGTATTCTTTAGAAAATAGAAATGGTAAGACTTGAGAAAAATGAGCACATGGCTCAGAATGTATTTTGGATATAGAAGTGATAAATGTAATAAAATAATCACACAAAAAATAGAAATTTATATGAGTATAAATCATGACAATTTAATCAAATATACCACATAAAATCAAAAGATAAATGAAATTTAATACTTAAAAGTAACCTTTACTATAGCAAAGCTAATTACCATATCTTTCAAATATGAATCAGACAAAAGATGGGTGAATTTGAAATATCCAATAATAATCACAAATGCTACTCAAATATGGATATGTGAATTTATAGCATAATTTTTAGTTGAAACTAAAAGATGAAATGACAGTAAGAAAAGAGATAGATGTATTTCTTGTCTTGGGGTGTTTGTATATCTGCAATTGGACTTTTTAACTCAACAACTATTGAAAAGATTGTGTTTAAAATCTATAGGTGTACTGATTGATAAGCATACATGGCACTTTTTCATATTCAATCTAAGATGAGGATTCCCATTGAATTAAAGCTGATATTCTTTATTTTAAAATCTGCATTTTATGCAAATTAAAATAAAATGGCAGTCTGAGAAAAGTGAATTTTATTATATTAGAGACATTTGGGAAGTGACCACATTTTATTTTTATCAGGCGTATCAAATACCAGCCCAGTGCAAACTTGCTTTGCAAGTGTGCTAAAAAGATTGCTGAATATATTCAAATGTATTGACAGTATTTGTAAAGAATCTTTCATAAAATAAATCCTCATTTGAGCATATATTTTTAAGAGTAGATACAATAAGAGCTTTAAAAACGTATCAATTAGAAAAATATTAGTAATGTAATATAACATCCACTATATTGCTGTAAAAATGCATACATATCCATATGCACAAACACACACAAACTGTGCATAGGAAGTGGGGGGGGGGAGAGAATACCCACACCAAGAAAGTACAGTCATCTAAAAAAAACTAAAAAAAAAAATTTCTTATTTTGTCTTTTTGAAAAATATATATAATATCTAGTTAAAAATAAATGCAAAGTTTTAAGAATAAGCTCAGTAAATATCGTTTATTTCATTCATTTATTAGTATATGTAGGGGATTCTGGGAAAGGAGAGAGAAAAATATGTGAAAAGATTAATAGAGAATAAAGACAATATATAAATATATATATATTTAATATATATATAATATATACACAATGGGAATTCCAAAGTGTAGTAATCAGGGTTATCTAGAGGGGCAGAACTAACAGGATATATGTATATATACAAAAGGGAGTCTATTAAGGATCACAAGGTAAAGTCCCAGGATAGGCCATCTGCAAATTGAGGAGCAAGAAAGCAAGTGGTAAATCAGTTCAAGTTCTAAAACCTCAAAAGTAGGGAAGCTGACAGTGCAGCTTTCAGTCTGTGGTCAAAGGCCTGAGAGCCCCTGGCAAATCACTGGTGTAAGTCCAAGAGTCCAAAAGCTGAAGAACTTGGAATCTGATGTTCGAAGGCAGAAAGCATCCAGCACAGGAAAAAGATGAAGGCCGGAAGACTCAGCCAGTCTGCTCTTCCATCTTCTCCTGCCTGCTTTATCCTAGCTGCACTGGCCAATGATTAAGATAGTGCTGGCCAGGCGCAGTGCCTCACGCCTGTAATCCCAGCACTTTGGGAGGCAAAGGCGGGCGCATCACGAGGTCAGGGGTTTAAGACCACCCTGGCTAACACAGTGAAACCCCGTCTCTACTAAAAATGCAAAAATTAGCCTGGTGTGGTGGTGCACCTGTAATCCCAGCTACTCAGGAGGCTGAGGCAGGAGAATCGCTTGAACCGGGGAGACATAGGTTGCAGTGAGCCAAGATTACCCCACTGCATTCCAGCCTGGGCGACAGAGCGAGACTCTTGTCTCGAAAAAAAAAAAAAAAAAAAAAGATGGTGCCCACCCAGATTGAGGGTGGGTCTGCCTCTCCAAGTCCACTGGCTCAAATGTTAATCTCCTTTGGCAACACCCTCACAAACACACCCAGGAACAATACTTTTCATCCTTCAATCCAATCCAATTAAACTCGATATTAACCATCACACAAATTAATGAATGAAAATAAAAGACAATGTCATTAGCATATTTTGCATAATATGTTCATGATAATAAATTAAGAATAAATAATGTTCTGCAGCATATTTTTGGTTAAGTATCTGAAAGTCACAGATAAAAGTTTCACATATATTCAAAGATCTTTAAAGTTCTTTGAAAACCTTGAAATTTTTAAATTTTTAGCCTCTTTAAAATAAAATGTCTAAATTTTCATCAGGCAACATAGAATTTTATAATTGTAGGTTTTTCCCAATTATTTGTAAATCATGACCCCAAAAATATTACGCTTTCAGCAACTTTTAAACTCAGAGCAAAGCTTGCAGATGTAAAATTTTGCCATAATTTTTTTTCTGTAACCCAGATTTTCCTCCAAGTAGATACTATTAAGGAGAATCCTGTGTTTATTAAACATATTGAAGGGTTTACTCTACCATTTGAGAGTAAGAGGAGAGGTAATCAAATTTTTGTAGAGAAGAGTGAGGAAAGAACTTGAAGCTGGGGGTGAGGATCAAAAAGTGGTCACTGATTGCACTAGTTAGGGTTCTCCAGAGAAACAGAACCAGCAGGATGTGTGTGTGTGTGTGAATGTGTGTGGAGAGAGAGAGAGAGACTTTAAGGTATTGTCTTCATATGCTTGTGGAGGCTTTGGAAATCCATAGTCCAATAAAATTGGAGATTCAGGGAACAGGGAAACATGGCACAATCAAATTGACACACAAAATTAATCTTCACACTGATCAAAGAAAGCAAGAAGTCAATGAGACCGGGCACTGAAAAGCAAGGGGGCAAGAGTTGATATAGTCTGCTGGCTGGGCAACCAATAAGGAAGTTTGGAGATGATAATTATCTAATCTTAGGTTATGTTTGCAGTTTTCCACAACTATGTTCTTCTACTTCTCATATGGAATCATAAAAAATAGCCGCTTTATCTACTAACAAAATTTGTGTGAATGATGAATAGAATCTAATTAGGGAGCTCAAATTGTTATTTTTCTATTGTGTCAGGCTATGGCAAAGAGTTTGATAGTGATAAGTTGTCCATTAAAATCCGTCATAATAACATCTTTATAGCTGAATTTGGATGCACAACCAGAATACATATCTATTCTGGTTGGCTCTGGGCTCCTAGGGCTCCTAGGGCCTAGGGGTTTCACTAGCCCTAAGCTCAAGCTATCCACCTGCCTTGACCTCCTAAAGTGCTGGGATTACAGGCATGAGCCACAGCACGTGGCCTTATGTTTAGTTTAGTTTAGTTTTTGGTTTTGTTTACAAAAAAAAAATTCTCAAATTGTCTTTTAAAGTGGCTGTAGTTTTTTTTTTTTTTTTTTTTTTTTTTTTTTTTTGCATTTTTACAAGCAATGAATGAGGGCCTCTGTTGCTCTGCATTCTCATTAGGATTTTCTGGGTCAGTGTTCTCGATTCTGGCCATTCTAATAGGTATGCAGTGGCATCTCATTGTTTCTTCAATTTACATTTCTCTTTTGACATATAATGTGGAGCATCTTTTCATATGCATATTTGCCATCTATATGTCTTTTTTGGTGAGGTGACTGTTAAGGACTTTGACTCTTTTTTAAATAAGATTGTTTTCTTATTTTTGAGTCTTAGTAGTTCTTTGTATATTTTGGATAACAGTCCTTTGTTAGATGTCTTTTGAAAATACTTCCCCTCAGTCTATGATATGTCTCTTCATTTTCCTAAGAGTGCCCTTCACAGAGCTGAGAATTTAATTTTAATCAAGTCCAACTTATCAACTCTTTCTTCCATGGATCATGACTTTGGTGTTGGATCTAAAAAGTCATCCCCAGAGTCTCCACAGTATTCTGAACCCACTGCTGACCATGTACAGGAGAATGCCTAGAATCTGCAGAGCTGTTGTAATAGCTGGTACAACTCTGATGTGAAGCCTGAGGAACAGGAGGAAGGGAAGCATGGCAGGCAGGTACAGGGAGATTCTGGATATGACTTTGACATCTGCCTCACCTCAGTGCAGAAGAGAGCAATTCCAATACTCTGCACAGTGCTAGATGTCATTGATCAAATGCAGCTGCAGTACTAAGGATTTTGCACTTTGGTGAGTGGCACTTTGGGGGCCTAACGTCAATAAAGTAGAAACTGCTGTCAAGTAGGATGAGATCCAGATGAAGATCTGGAGGTGCTCGTATGATATCCCACCACCTCCGATAAGCCCTGGCCATTCTTTCTACAGCAACATCAGTGAGGATCACAGACATGAAGACCTCACAGAAGAACAGCTAGTACCCTGTTAAAGTCTGAGGGACATTACTGCCAGAGTTCTGCCCTTTTGGATAGAATTAATAGTTCCTCAGATTAAGGAAGGGAACTGGACACTAACTGTGGTCCACA
This sequence comes from Homo sapiens, assembly GCF_000001405.40. Classification (NCBI taxonomy): domain Eukaryota; kingdom Metazoa; phylum Chordata; class Mammalia; order Primates; family Hominidae; genus Homo; species Homo sapiens. Next base: position 115,764,300 of record NC_000004.12, on the reverse strand, counting down.
GAACAGCCTTCAGGGAATTGTCAAACATAGAGAGGGTTGCTCTGAAGAAGCTGCCATAGAGCTTAGTCTGCAGACTAGTATTCTTGTTGTTTATGAATTGAATTGGGAGAAGTCCTTCAAACATATGCAGTACCTAGGAAACAAGGAGGCCATGTATGAAGCCATACAAGCTGTAACTGTCAAGGGCATGGTCAAGGAGTGAAAGCAAGCAGACAGGCTACTATCCCAAGGAATACCTTACTTGCTCATAGTGTTTCTTTGCAGCTTTACCCTATTACACATCACACTGACCAAATCTACAGGGATTTTAAGTTGGAGCTGCAGATAGGAATGAGTGGCTCTGATCTTTATGTAGCCATTTTTTCTCCCGCTCTCACTTTCTTTATATGATCTAGTTAGAATGGTACCTCTGGGGTATGGGCCCTCAGTATAAACCAAGGAAAGATTCTTTTTATCCAAAAGAGTTGAGAAGTAGTAATTCCGAGGTTTTTGCTACCGCTGTTTTTTTTTTTTTTTTTTTTTTTTTTTTTTTTTACTAAGGACCTACTTGAGTAAGGGTAGGGAGAAAGCATGCCAAGTCATGGCCATTGAAAAGCAAGAGAACCTATTTGTATTCTCAGGAGCCAGTCCTACATTCTATAGTCATATCGCTATCTAGGGCCCTATTGTCATTCCAGTGGCATATGAATGTAACCTGCCTGGTGATTAAAAATTAAACAAAACCACAAAACAACAACAACAAAAATATCTCCTCCCTTACTCTAGAGGAGCTGACTCCAGAAGGTTGAGTTCAATCCTGAATGTTTATATACTGCATTTACTTAAAAAAAATATGTATATAACAAAACAAAAACTCTTCTGGGGTTTCTAATCGCAGTTGAAATAGAGCCATGTGTGGTCATCAGAAATGAGATAAACTCCTTGATTTCTAAGAGGCAGGAGTTCATCCTGAAGTGTGTTTTAGACTTCATCCCCTGACTTTGTGTGTGTGTGTGTGTGGCATTGAAATGCTCCTTTATCTTGTCCAAGCATGTCTTTCACATTTTTCTGCTTACACTGCCCATCTGTTCTTGCATGCTGTCTGCTTTATCAGATCCCTTAGCATATGAATCATACTTATTTCAAATTCCATGTATGATTATTCTAATATATCATATCTTGTTCTGATGCTCTGTTTCTTTGTCTTTTTTGTCTTTTAGTATGCATTGTACTTTTTTGTTGTTAGACAGACATGAGCTACTGGGTAAAAAGAATTGCTGAAAATAGACCTTTAGTAATGTGGTGGTAAGGTGAGGGGAAAGGTGAAGTGTTCTATAGTCCTATTGATTAGGTCTTAGTCTATCAGTGAGCCTATACCACTATGAACTTCACAAATGCTCCTCAGTTTTTTATGTTGTTTGCTTCTACCCCTTAGGTGCAACAGGATGGCCAGAGGGGAATGGAGTTGGGTATTATCCTCCCCTCAGGTAAGTTAGACTCTGATAAATTCCCATCAGGTTAGGCTCTGGTTATTTAGGTTCTCCTGAGGACAGACATTGTTAAGAAAAACAGAATGCTCTGGCTGACATCGAAATGGTTCCTTTTTCCCTCCTTCTACTGGATGCATGAAGGGATTTTTTTTTCTTCCCTTGATATTCACTGTGAGAATCTGTCAAGATCCAGGAGTTAAAACTCACGAAAAAAGTAGAGGCCTCAGGACTGGGTTTGCCTGGAGTTTTCATCTCTCAGACTTGTTCTGCATTCTGCCTCCAGCAATTTGTCAGTTACAGTTCCCATTTCCCTACCTTAACAAGTTTCTTCTCTGTGGTAAGCTGTAATCTTCTCTACTGGCCTGTAGCTTTCTCTTATTTTGGGGGCAAGAGTTTGCCATTTGACTTCACCTTTTTTAGAGATCTAAGAAGAGTAGATTTTTTAGTTTGCTTAGCTTTTTGGGTTAGGACAGAATGAGGGATTCTAAGCTTCTTACAAGCCTGATAGGAAACTGGTAATCTCAATTGTTCTTCAAGTAAAAATGGTGTTCTATGAAAAAAAATAAAATTATACAGCTATGTTAGCTAGATGCAACCTTTTTTACTACTCAGCAGAATTTCTTCATATGTAATTAGCTTTTTGTCACACAAAATATTTTTTAAAAGATGTACACCCAATGGCCAAGATATAATTCTAATTTAATAATAATAATAATAATTTTTACTGAGTCATCAAGGCGATTCTGAGCAACACTTGGCATTTAAACCTTTTTTAAAATTGTAATGCATGGAGGTTAAGAATGCAATGTCTATGAGTAAATATTAACTCAGAAAAGATGCAAATAAGGTTTTATTATTAAGAAAATTATATTGACCTTGAGATCTCTTGAAAATGTCTCAGAAACTTCCAGGGTTCTATGGACCATCGGTTGGAAAACCCTGCCTAAAGGGTGTTGGAAACCCAAAATAAAAGAAATCCAGTTACCTTAAATTAGGAGTGATGAATGAAAGAAAAATAAAATTTGTGTTAATTCAGACACTTATTTGCAGGGCTTTTTGTATTATTAGTTATTCCTTCATTGTAACATTGATTTTAGAAGTCAGGAGATATAACTAAAAATGTAAATAAATATTTGGAACTTGCTGAGAATTTGGCAGCAAGGCAAAACATATTGCAAACTGGAATTGGACTTCTAGATTTGTTGAGACTTCTTAAGCTGTGGCAAAAATATTCAGTATAATTCCTATGTATTCTGGCTTGATAGCTACCTTATCACATCAGGCATGCAGCTCTAGGTAAAGTGTCTAGAAAGAACTAGAATGTTAGGAGCAATTATTTGTTCTTTACTGCTTGTAGAAAGGAAGCAAAAGAAAAAACTTTAGCTCAAGCTCAAAGTGGCCAAAGTTAGTAAAGAGTGATGGGAGAAAACAGAATTCAGAGATTTGGAGTCCCATAGCTTCAGAAACCTAAATGTTTCTGTTCCCAAAGTAACAGAGTATGTGGCTGTTCCTCAAAGACTTTCTCTTTGAAAGTATCTTAAGACTGCTAAGGCAAGAAAAATGGGAGGTACACTGGTGCCAAATGTAAAATTAAGGATGTAACAAACTGTTGTTTGAGATGGCTCAGTATAACTTTCTGTAAAATGAGGGAGAAACACATGGGTACATAGTAAACAAACAAAAAAAAATAATGTAAGCTTGAGTATTGCATCAGCTACTAGCACATAATGCTGACTGAAAGCAAACAGAACAGAAGTGTGCTAAATTTTGGAAATTGTGCTAAAGAAGTCATAAGCCTGGCTAACATAGCTCACCTTAAAGATTATGAGAAAAATGCATATTTTCCAACTTCTACTTTAGAAAATACCATGGAAGACAGTAGACTAAAATGATTATATCCTATTTACTTTCACAGAACACAAAGGAATAGTTTACAAAATAAAAGGAGTAATGGAATTAGACCCAAAGGAGAACCATGGGTGGCCAGATAGGCTAAGGAAGAGATTTATTTTACATGATAGGAAGCTTTCATAATTTCCATCCAGATGAATTTTATAGATGGTATCAACTCATAATTGCTTTCCAGTATTCTCGTTTTCGATTAATTGTTTTTATAAAAGTTATCTGCACATCATATAGTAGAAAGAGTAACTAGTTTGGAGCCACTATATATTCAAATTTGGTTATAAATTTTTAGGTCAAGAGAAGCCACATGTAAACTGATAGCAAAGTTTGTGCATTATTGAGATATTTGAAGTAAGGTAAATGTAATAGCTATATGAGACTTTGTTTTTCTCGTTTCAGGAGGGGGTCAATATGTTCTATGCATATGTTTTATGATCTGTCAGAAAGGCAGACTCTATTGACACTACTAGCATTAAACACATGCACGCACACACACGCACACACACACACACACAAAATTGGTTCTCCTGTTCTTTGGGATTTTAGTTATTGAGAACAAAAATTTCCAGTATACTTTATTACTTAGTCTCCCTTGCTCTTAGACTTACTTGGCCAGTGAATGTGAACAGAAGTATTGTGTGCTAATGACACCTCGGGACAGAAGGTCATTAATTTACTTTCCTCTGTTCCTCCATGTATTCATCAGGAATCTAGATTAGACAGTGTCACTTCTTTGACCACCCAGACAACAATAATGCCCTAAAGGATGGCAAAGCCATGCATGAGAGAAACTTGGACCATTGAGTGATTATATAAGGATACACACAGACTTGGTCCATTCATGGCAAGTCTGCTACATGGGACATAAACAGTTTTTCTTCAATGACCAATGATTTTGTGGGAATCTTTTTATTATAGCAGTCTAGCTTTTGTCCTATTTTAGAGTGGCATAAATACAACATTTGAGATTAAAGAAACCCTGAGTCAGAGAAAATGTTAAGATTTAAGACTCAAGGAATTTGCCGAAAATTTGAAAAACTTAAGACTTACACATATTGTAAAATTGGAGGTTAAAGTTGGACCATACCTAGATATAAAGAGTGAGAGTTCCCTGGTGATAATGTGTCTCACAAGTGAGACAGCATGATTTTGTTACAAGCAGCAAATCCATATGGGTCTGCAGCAACTTCATTCCTGCCTTCTCAGAGGAAAGAATTTGACCAAGAGGTATAAGGCAGAGAGATTGAGGCAAGTTTTAGAGCCTGAGTGAAAGCTTATCAAAAAATTTTAGAGCAGGAATGAAAGGAAGTAAAATATACTTGGAAGAGGGCCAAGCAGGTGACTTGAGAAATCCAAGTGTCCCATCTGACCCTTGACTTGGGATTTTATACATTGGCATGGCTCCGAAGTTTGCAGCTCTCCTCCCTTGATTTTTCCTTGTGGCGGGCTGTCCACATGCACAGTGGCCTGCCAGCACTTGGGAGGGACTGCATGCACAGTGTGTTTACTAAAGTTGTGTGCAAGTTCACTTGAAGTGTTCCTCCCTTTCCAGTCAAGTGTTCCTAGAGGAAGGCTATATACCAGATAAACTTGGCCTTTTTGCCTCTTAGTGCACATGCTTGAGCCTGCTTGCCCAATTCTTCAGATCTTATCAGGAAGCTGCTGATCACCAGCTTCAGGTGTTTTCTATCTATTGGGCGACTGTCCCTGGTGCCAGCTGTGACCAATTATTATTTTAGAGAGAGAGTTTAACAACTGCCTAACCATGACCTGATGGTCGCCCGACATTCCTGGTGGGGGGCAGTTGCCTGCCCAGCTTATGTCTGCCTAGCTACCTAACAAATTTATCTTCTTTTTTAAAATACAGCATAGGAGTAGATGGGGATCAGAGATTAGGGTAGGTTTTCCAATGAAGCAAAATCAGAAATGGAGAGAAAATCAGTGATATAAATAGTGCTGATTATTTGCTAAAATAAATCATGAGTATACATTTTTAAACACCTCTTAAATTTGTTAAATTTCAGTGTCAAATGAAAATGTCTAGTTTTCTGACACCTCCATTTCAATCACACATATACATCAATTTTGCCTTGATTTCTAAAACATAAAAAATCTGCTACTGCCAAAAAATCTCATTAGTTAGATAGTTCTGAGTGTTAAAGATCTCAACAGAAAATTTTAAGTGAACATTATATTGACACTAAACAAGAAAACTTATTTTTGTCCATGCCCCTATAAATATTAAAAAACAAAATAAAACTGAGACAAGCACTCTACTATTAGTATCTGCTCTTCACATTTCCAGTGATAGTTTTTTCTCTTTGTATGCTCAAAATTTTAAGCAGAATTTTGTCTTAATTGTATCAGGAAAAGAAAAAAAAAATAACACGTATAGAACTCCTAACAGATTACACTGTTGCAGAGGATATGCTTAAGGGATGTGTGGTGTAGGACTGGACAGGGATTGAATAACAAAGTCCTATCTAAAATTTATCTTAACTGCAAGAACTGGATCTGATTTCCACTAGGTAGTAGGACCATGATTGCTGGAAAAGTTATAGGTTTCTGGGTTTTTTTGTTTATTTGTTTTTTAAAGGGGCGAGGACAATATTAATAAGATATGAGTAGAGAATAAGTAAGTAGCATGTGTAAAATAAAAACAAAGCTGAATTAGGGAGGTACAGGAAATAGTGCAGAAGGACTTTAAACCGTCAGTGTTACTACTACTTGATGTTAGGAAAGAGATAAAGGCAGTTTAAATTATCACAGTACAGGTTCCTTTTAAGAAGATTTAAAGAATTGATTAATTTGGCTTCTACATGAACAAATTTCTCCTCAAATAATGTCTACAAAATATGTTGTGATAGAAAACTTTGTTGTATAGCATTTTGGCAATCCTGTAAATCCTAGAAAATACAAACACAAAAACATTTTTTATTGGATAGATAGAGCACATTTGGGGAATATTACTGTGTATGATATATGTAAAAGTGTTACAAATCTTTTTTCCTGAGATCTTTTGGTTGCTTAGGAACAGAGAAATTGAAGGACTAGTAAAAATAAGTCACTATTAAATGAGGGATTTTCTTTTTTTTATGTAGCAGGAAATATTATTTGAGGATAATAATAGACATAAATCATGGATATTCTGTGCATTGCTCTGAGACAGCCAAAAATCTATGAGCATTGCCATTTTTTCTATCATTCTTCAACACTCTTTTTTTCCTTCTGGGGAAATGTTAAACATAAAGTAAGTCATTTATCTTATGTTTGCATAAATGTTAAGAATTTTTTAATAGCCTATGAGTACTTCAAATTTTATATGAAATAAACTAATAGTCATTACACATTTAGAGAAACTGCCAATGTTTGTCACAACAATAATAACTATTCTAGGATTTCCAAACTCAAAGGAGTCATTTGTTTTATGCAAACAAAATAAAATGTAAAGTGTATTTCTTCATTAAAGCTTTGATTTTATGCTAATGATTAATATAAGTATCCAGGACATTTAATTTAGACTGATTTAGGTAATCACTTTGAAGGTGTGCTTCATTAATTATAATTACAATAGTTTACTCCTATTCTAATTATGTGTTTGTTTACATAATAAAACAGTTTAGTTTGAAATCATTGAGGATGCTTCTTTCTTAAATCTTAGAAGAGACAAAAACACTATAATGACTTAATGTCTGTAACAAAAAGGCAGAACTTAGGGTTCTGCTTTCAGATACCCAGATAACAATCACAAACTCTAAACAAAATACATTTAAAAAATCCAGATACCTGAAGACACTCTAAAGCAATTAAAAGGGAAAGAAATTCTAGATGTGAATAAATCCTTAAAAGAATGGAAGTATACTATGGAAGATTTACATTTATATGATTTTTTTGCCTAAAGACAAATGCCGATTTACACACTATAGACAAAATGGAAATCCAGCAAAAAGCAGTCATGTTGTTTATTAGTAACAAAGTTAGGCATTTCCAAAGCTGCTCATGTGGGAAAAGTCACACATAGGTAGGAGAGAATACCAGATTCTAAGAGAAAAAGGAAAAGCCAGAAGACCAAAACCTTGAAAACAACTGAGAAAAGATTTTAGCTGCTACCCACCACAGAGAAGGTGACAGTCAAGGTAACTATCAGGCAGATGAAAAATCACCACTCTCCAGAAAAAAAAATTGAATCAAAAGTTTCTTAAATCTACAATTCATTAATGACTGGTTGAAAGTATATTTGAATGTGCAAAAATATTAGATATGAAAGGAAACATTAAGCCATAATTACCATAAAGGCAGTCAATAAAAATTGACCTTGAATCAGTACATGAGTTAGAACTAACAATTAAAAATTAAAGAAAAATATGATTACAATGAATTAACATTTGGGTAACTTCACTAAACAAATAAAAACTATAAAAAGTTACCAAATGTAAATTCTAGAACAAAATTATACAGGATCTGAAAAAAATTACAATGGATATGATTAACATTAGCTAGGAGATAGCAGATGAATGGGTAAGTATTTATCTATAATGGTAGATTCTATGAGTCTATGTAATTCATAGATAATCAATATGAAGAATGTATGTAAAAAATTTAAAAATAAAAAAGCATCACTAAGATTTTAAACTATTAAACATCTAATATATGTTTCATTGAAGGTATAAAGATAAGAAAAAAGAAAATAAGATTAAAAAAAGAATACAAAGTTTCTAAATTTGGTGAAAAATATTAACTTTCATATACAGGAAGCCCAGCAAATTCAAAGGCAGGTAAGTAGAAATAAAGAAATAGATAAGCAAATCCAAAGCCAAATAAATAGAAAGAAATAGCAAAAAACAAACCAACAAAAACAACGTAAATGCATAATAGCAAACTGATTAAAAAAAAGAAAATCTTGAAAGCAGAGAATCATATTACATTAAATATAAAGTAACAATGATATAAATTATGTCTCAGGTCACATATATTTAAAAATTTGAACAGAAGGCAATGGAAAGATATCACTAAATTCTGAAAGAAAAATAAGTTAACATATAAATCTGTTTCCATTTAAATCACCCTACAAAATAGAAATAAAATGATATTATTTACTTCTAAATAAAATCTTGAAGAGTTATTCATCATGGAAACAGTGTCACATGAAATTCAAAAGCAAGAACTCCATAATAAAATAAAATGACAAAAGATGAATCTTAAATCTTTAGAAATGAATGAAGAACACAAAGAATGATTAGTAAAGATAAACTATAATAGAATAAATAGGCTCTCCTTTTATTATTTTTCAAACACATTTGTATTAGTCTGTTTCACACTGCTAATAAAGGTATACCTGAGACTAAGTAATTTATAAAGAGAAGAGGTTTAATGGACTCAAAGTTCCACATGGCTGAGGAGGCCTCACAATCCCATGCCTTATATAGCAGTAGGCAAGACATATTGTGCAGGGTAACTCCCATTTATAAAAGCATCAAATCTCATGAGACTTATTCACTACCATGAGAACAGTATTGGGGAAACTGCTCCCATGATTCAATTATCTCCAGCTGGCCTCACCCTTGACACATGGGGATTATTACAATTGAAGGTGAGATTTGGGTGGGGACACGAAGCCAAATAATTATTCTACATTTGTCCCCTCCCAAATCTAATGTCCTCACATTTCAAAACCAATCATGCCTTCCCAACAGTCCACCAAAGTCTTAACTCATTTCAGCATTAAGTTAAAAGTCCATAGTTCAAAATCTCATCTGAGACAAGGCAAGTCCCTTCCACCTAGAAGCCTGTAAAATCAAAGCAATTAGTTACTTCCTAGATACAAAGGAACTACAAGCATTGGGTAAATACTGTCATTCCAAATGGGAGAAATCTGCCAAAACAAAGGGGCTACATGTAGGCCTCATGCAAGTCTGAAATCCAATAGGAAAGTCATCAAACCTTAAAGTTCCAAAATGACCTCCTTTGACTCCATATCTCACATCCAAGACACACTCATGAAAGAAGTGGACTCCCAGAATCTTGAGCAGCTCCGCCCCTATGGTTTTGCATGGTACAGCCCCACTCCTGGCTGCTTTCACAGGCTGTCATTGAGTGTCTGTGGTTTTTCCATGTGCACAATGCAAGCTGTCATTGGATCAACCATTCTGGGGTCTGGAGGATAGTGGCCTTCTTCTCATAGCTCCACTAGGATGTGTCCCAGTGGGGATTCTATGTGGGGGCTCCAACCCCACATGTCCTGTCCTCACTGACCTAGCTGAGGTTCTCCATGAGGGCCTCACCTCTGCAGCAAACTTCTGCCTGGAAATCCAGGTGTTTCCATACATCCTCTGAAATCTAGGTGGAGGTTCCCAAACCTCAAATCTTGATTTCTGTGAACCTGCAGGCTCAACACCACATGGAAATTGCCAAAGCTTGGGGCTTGCACCTTCTGAAGCCATGGCCTGAGTTGTACCTTGTCCCCTTTTCAACATACCTGGAGCAGCTGGGACACAGGACACCAGGTCCCTAAGCTGCATACAGCAGGGGCCCCTGGGCCTGGCCATGAAACCACTTTTTCCTCCTAGGCCTCTGGGCCTGTGATGGGAGGGGCTGCCTAAAAGGTCTCTGACATGCTTTGGAGACATTTCCCCCATTGTCTTGGTGATTAACATTGGGCCGCTCATGACTAATGAAGATTTCTGCAGTGGGTTTGAATTTCTTCCCAGTAAATGAGTTTTTCTTTTCTATTGTATCATCAGGCTGCAAATTTTCCAAAGTTTTATGCTCTGTTTCCCCGTGAACACTTTGCTGCTTAGAAATTTTTCCACCAGATACCCTAAATCATCTATCTCAAGTTCGAAGTTCTGCAGATCTCTAGAGCATGGACGAAATGCCACCAATTATTTACATAGCAAGAGTAACCTTTATTCTAGTTCCCAAGAAGTTCCTTATCTCCACCTGAGACCACCTCAGCCTGGACCTTATTGTCCATATCACTATCAGCATTTCGGACAAAGCCATTCAAAAAGTCTCAAGGAAGTTCCAAACTTTCCCATATCTTTCTGTCTTCTGAGGCCTCCAAGTCTCTAGGACATTCCAAATTGTCCCACATTTTTATGTCTTCTGAGCCCTCCAAAGTGTTCCAACTTCTGCTTGTTATCCAGTTTCAAAGTTGCTTCCACATTTTTGGCTATCTTTATAGCAGCACCCACTACCTGGTACCCACTTACTCTATTAGTCTGTTCTCATGCTGCTAAAAAGACATACATGACTCTGGGTAATCTGTAAAGAAAAGAGGTTTAATTGACTCACAGTTAAAAATAGCCAGGGAGGCCTCACAATCATAGTGGAAGGTGAATTAAAAGCAAAGGCACATCTTACATGGCAGCAGGCAGGAGAGCTTGTGCAGGGGAACTCCCATTTATAAAACTATCAGATCTTGTGAGACTTATTCATTACCACAAGAACAGTATGGGGGAAACCACCTCCATGATTCGATTATCTCTAACTGGCCCCACATGGGGATTATTACAATTCAAGGTAAGATTTGGGTGGGGACACAGTCAAATTATATCAACATTTTTCTTTAAATGAAACATTACTATACTGTATTGAGGAGTTTATTAACTATTTAGATACTGTATATATAAGAGTTATGACAGTTATATCACACAGCTCTTTAGAACTGTACTGAGATAAACTTCCAATTTTTAGTTGTAAAATATTTACTCTGATAAATAAAAGATGAATAATTTATCCTAGAACTACTACAAGAAATAGTGCCAAAATGAATAACTAAAACTTTTAAATAGAATACTTAAAATTTCTTACTAATTATACTCATTCAATACAATAGAAGATAGGAAAAGAAGAACACATAGAGGAATAGAAGATTATAAATACACTTCTAAGCAAGATGTGAAACCGTGCCCCAAAAAGTTAAATAAACCAATCACTAACAGAAATTATTGAGTCTTCAGGATGACAGATAAGAAAAGAAACAATTTGCTGAAATGCTGAAACTCTCTCTGCTTATAAGAAAACAAAACAGACTAAAATATTTTGAAACCAATATGGCCAACTAGAATTTCACAGAATGGGCTTGCTGACATCACTGCCAGAATTTCCACTGCATGTTTTGTACTAATTCCCTGTAAGTCTGCACATGAGAATGAAACCCATGAAGAGGCATGAAGAGATAACTGCTCATGCCCAAGGACTTTCCAGACCTCCTCTTTCCTTCCACAAATCACTTACGAGTTTCAGAATCCAGTCCCTGAATTTTTTTTTCAAATAAAAATTCTGCCTTGATACCAGCACAAGGAGACAGATTTAAGCTTGACTCTTGTCTCCTTGTGAGTTGACTTGAAATTAAAACAATTTCTTTTCTAGAAAACCCAATGTCATGATATTGCTTCTATTGTATTGGGTCTCAAGCCTCTTTTGCTTGCTAACCAATGTAGAAACATGAACTGTATTTACATTTCAACTGGAAAAAAAACTAAAATTTAGAGAAAACAGACTAAACACAGCTTTTCAGGACACTGGACATCAAGCAAAAAAATACAGTCATCTCTCAGAGACAGGAAACAAACAATGTTAACCGAATGATTTTCCCATCTTATTAACATGAGAGACTTTCCAGAATGTGGTACAGCAAGCAGGAGCCTCAGCTTAGCCCAATAGTGTAACTGAGAAACAGACAGAGGTGAGAAAGTAGGGAGACCAAGGTGACAAGGGCATTCAGAACAGAATGCTGTAGAGGAAAATTCTACAAGAGAGGGAATTCTAGGGAAAGACAAAGGATTCTCATCAAGTATTGTGCAGTGATCGAATATAAACACATACACTAGGCGAAAAGTAAAGAGACAGGGAAAGTTACATTTTGTTAATTCTACTAAAAACGAAACTGGATTGGCTCTATCAATATCAGACACAGATTACAGAACACATTATATTACCAAAGATAATAAATGATATTTCATAATGATGAATATGTCAATTTACCAAGAAAATATAATAATATCCAACATTAATGCATCCAGTGACCTGCCTCCCCTTCCACCTTCTCCACCTCTTCCACCTTTGATAACCCCGAGGGTTTGGTAATTCTCTTCTTCCTTCTCCTCAGCCTATTCAATATGAAGATGTAAAGGATGAAGAGCTTTATGATGATCAATTTCCACTTAATGAAAAGTAAATATGTTTTCTCTTATGATTTTTCTTATTTTCTTTTATCTAGCTTATGTTATTATAAGAAATGTTATATAATACATATCACATAACAAAATATGTGTTAATCTACTGGTTATGTTATTGGTAAGGATTCCAGTCAACAAACAGCCATTAGTCCTTGAGTTTTGGGAAAGTTTAAAGTTATACATGGATTTTTGACTGCCTATGGGATGAATTCCCCTAACCCCTGGTTGTTCAAGGGTCAACTGTATTCTTAAATTGACTTAAAATGCTTCCGTGTGGAACTTCAGATCATGCAAAAACTTAACAATGGATAATTGCCCCACAGCATCTTTATGCAAATAAACTGAATCACATTATACTTTGTACTACTCAATAATTCGGAGAGAATTGTAAATCTAAATGTGAAACCTAAAAAGATAATTCTTCTGAAAGAAAATTGAGAAAAAAATTAGGACCTTGAGTTAGGCAAATATTTCTTAGATATGACTCCTAAAATATGACCTATAAAAGAACAAATTGATAATTAGAAAATCATTTTTAACCAAAATCTACCCTTCAAAAAAGTCTGTTAACTAAGAAGCTAAAGTATAAATTATTTGCATTTTATATATTTGATAAAGGGCATATCTAGAATATAGAAAGAACTGCCAGAACTCAGTAGTAAGGAAATAAGTGACACAATGAATAAAACTGGACATTTTGGCAAAGAATGGATGCTATAAAGATGGCAAATAAACACAGGAAGATAATCAATATTATTAAGGAGGTAAAAACAAATTAAATATACAATGGGAAATTACTACTTATTCATTATAATGTTAAACGTCAAAAAAGACGGATCACCCAAGTATTGGCAAAGATAGGGAGAAACTAAAACTCTGCTATTGGAAACTTAAAATGACAAATCACTTCGGAAAAAATGGTTTTCCACTTTCTTAAAAACATAAGCATACATTTGATTCAGCTGTTCCACTCTGAGGTATTTATCCAGGTGGGCTTTCTTCATGAGCCTACTTGGCTGAAATGGTTATTTCATTCTTCCATGCCCCTCCCAGCCCCAGACACAATGAGGTGCTACCATTTCAATGGGAAGGGCCTCTTCGGGTCTTGTCAAATTCATTCACCTTCAGTAGCACTTTATATTCTGTGACTTGGACGGATCAATGAAGAATTAGAATTTCTGTTTTTTTCACGTTCCTTGAAGGGATTAAATGATGACATCTGGATATTTCTTTGTGTCCTTCCTACACAGAAATAATTATTAATCATATCTACAAATTTTACCTTTCATCACACTTAGGAGTAGAAGTGTGTGAAAGTTCCTAATATTGGTTCTTACACTCAAACCTATAAAAAGATGATCTTGCATGTACTCTTCTCATCCTGGGATCCCTCAAGGAGGAATAGAGTAGAGAGTATGTTACTCTTGCCCTCTGTGTAATTTGTATTATTCTTTCTTTTTCTCCTTTGGTCCTTTTTAGATCAGCAAGATAAGAAGAACTTGCAAAAGCAAATTGTGTCTACTACATCCACTTTTAAAATATTTACAATTCTCTATTTAATCACCTTAAAATTTTTGTTTTGATTTTTTAACCATTTGGACATCTTTTCTGAAATCAGAAGCTGTAGAATATATAGTCTTTTGATTTCAGCTGCATGCTATGTGTGTATTATATCCTGTTCTTTCATATTAGAAAAAAAGAGAGGGGGAAATAGAGACAAACACACATGCCATGGTGGGGAGACAGAGAGAGAAAGATGGAGAGAGAAATGGCCAAATTTTACTTCCCAATGTCCCCAGGGTTGGAGAAAGGCAGGTCTGAAAATACAGTCAATTAGTATGCCCCCACTTCTTGCAAGTTTAATAAGAAATGATAGCCCAGCAACTGGCAAAAATCGTCAAAGTAGGTTTCTATCTCACAGAGAAAAGGCTGTTTTATGGTAAGAACTGTCAAGTGGAAGATACTTGTTTCCCCCAAACAAAAATAGTAAATCAGTATCAACACAACATACCCAAGGAAGTTGAAAAGTTTTTTTCTAACAGAAAACCTTTACAGATGCAGAGGTTTCAATTTCAATCAGTGGCCCCTTCAATTCTTCCATTTAGCAAGGGCAGAAACTGATAGGTTTTGGAGAATGACAGTGGATAATAGCTTTTTTCAGGTGGAAAATCCAATTGCATCTGCTGCACCAGATCTAGGATCCTTAATGAAGAAAATACAGATTCTGACCTCTGACTAATCAGGCAAATTATTTTTTCTCACTTCTGATAAATGGGGAATATCAAGATATCATAATTGTTAAGCAGCATTATTCTGCTCAATGCAATGAATCACCTATAAAACTATTTGAATAGAAGACAATTATCATGATTTTGAAACCTCAAAATATCTTCTGGTAAAATAGAGTAAAATTAAGAGAGAGCTATCTAGAATAAAATACACTCATATAATGAGACATAAAATGATATACAAAATTCAATAGTCTACTAAATATAAGAACAATACACTTTAAGAAAATTTAAAAATACAAAAAACATGAGTTTATGTGAGTGTGAATTTGTGTAATGTGGATGGGGGTTGTCTCATTCAGGAAAACAGACTGATTTACAAAATAACATGAACTTTCTAAAGATAAAAACATTCAAAACTTACTGAGCTATAGGAATAATTATCTAGAATACTATAGCAATGACAGCTCCTACAATGATAGTGTATAATTTAGTATTTTTAAATGTTATTTATGTACTATAGAAAACACAAACCATCATCCTCAGCAAACTAACACAAGAACAGAAAACTAAACACTGCATATTCTCACTCATAAGAGGGACCTGAACAATGAGAACACATGGACATAGGGAAGGGACTATCACACACCAGGGCCTGCTCGGGGTGGGGCTAGGGGAGGAATAGCATTAGGAGAAATACCTAATGTAGATGATGGGTTGATGGGTGCAGCAAACCACCATGACACTTGTATACCTATGTAACAAACCTGCACATTCTGCACATGTACCCCAGAACTTAAAGTATAATAATAATAAAAAAAGAATTTCAAAGAAAGATAACAGAAGTGATAAAGGTGAAGTACTATTGCTCAAGGTAATATGCATCTCTCTCTAAAGACTTAATTATACACAATAGGGTTTAAGAAAACACACTAAAAATAAGTTAGCCCTTTCTCTGGAGGCAAGAGTGAACCTAGTGCTTGAACCAAAACTAAGGCTTTCAATTCATATCACAGGAGTAAAGGGTAAGTCAGAAACCTGCTCCTCCTACACACAATGTGCACAGCAGTGACTGGAATTCACCAATACTTTCATTATACCTTTTATACAAAATCATTTAAGTCACCAGAGGAGTTTCCAGAAGGCCAAGACAATCTTCATTTTCCATACTTTAACCCTGTAATTATCCATACATACCTCATGGATTCCCCATTCTCTCAACATTTCCCAACACCACAAACTCTGACAGTCCACTACTGGGAGGATTCACAATATCTTCCACCTCTTCTCTAAGCATTTTCTTCAATGTATTGTTCTGGAAATCTATTACTTCCCTGAAAACACTATTACTCAAGAAGCTCAGGTTTTTGTTTTGGTTTGTTTGTTTCATTTCCTAAGTTGATTCTTCTGCTACCGAACTTGGATTTAGGTAGTGAGACTTCTTGCTCCTTATTGCCCCTTTCTTTCTTTTTTTTTTTTTATTATACTTTAAGTTCTAGGGTACATGTGCACCATGTGTACATTTGTTCCATATGTGCACCATGTGCACATTTGTTCCATATGTGCACCATGTGCACATTTGTTACATATGTACACATGTGCCATGTTGGTGTGCTGCACCCATTAACTTCTCATTCTCATTTACATTAGGTATATCTCCTAATGCTATCCCTCCCCCATCCCCCCATCCCATGACAGGCCCCGGTGTGTGATGTTCCCCTTCCTGTGTCCATGTGTTCTCATTGTTCAATTACCACCTATGAGTGAGAACATGTGGTGTTTGGTTTTCTGTCCTTGCAAAAGTTTGCTGAGAATGATGGTTTCCAGCTTCATCCATGTCCCTACAAAGGACATGAACTCGCCATTTTTTAAGGCTGCATAGTATTCCATGGTGTATATGTGCCACATTTTCTTAATCCAGTCTATCATTGTTGGACATTTGGGTTGGTTCCAAGTCTTTGCTGTTGTGAATAGTGCCACAATAAACATACATGTGCATGTGCCTTTATAGCAGCATGATTTATAATCCTTTGGGCATATACCCAGTAATGGGATGGCTGGGTCAAATGGTATTTCTAGTTCTAGATCCCTGAGGAATTGCCACACTGACTTCCACAATGGTTGAACTAGTTTACAGTGCCACCAACAGTGTAAAAGTGTTCCTATTTCTCCACATCCTCTCCAGCATCTGTTGTTTCCTGACTTTTTAATGATCACCATTCTAACTGGTGTGAGATGGTATCACATTGTGGTTTTGATTTGCATTTCTCTGATGGCCAGTGATGGTGAGCATTTTTTCATGTGTCTGTTGGCTGCATAAATGTTTTCTTTTGAGAAGTGCCCCTTTCAAATAATCTTTCTCCCTAATCTTCAGTGGTCAGGTAGGAGCCCTTTGTTTTAAATCTCATGTCAAATTATGTTACCTACAAATAATGTTATTGTTGCCATTATCTACTCACCACCAGGATATTTCTCCTCTTTTTTAATGTTTAGTCCTTGGCTCAACGTACTAATCCTATGGATACTGCTTCTGTCTTAACTGCAACTTCATTATACACACTGATGATTCTCACAGCATTCTTGGCACTTAGTTTCTTGATTTCCTCTCCTTGGATAATAAAGTCCTCTTCCTCAAGCTCTCTCTCCTAGAATACATACAACAGTTAACGTTTTTGTTAGATTAATTCCTAAGAAATTTGTGTACTCAAATACTACAGTAAATGGTATGCAATTCAAAAATAGATTATTTGTTTGCTTTAAGTATAAAAATGCAACTGACTTTAGATATTATTTCTATGTCCAACAGACTTTATAAACTTTCCTTTTAAATTTTTTTATAATTTCAACTTTTTTTTAATATTCAGGGTGTGCATGTGCAGGTTTCTTACCTGGCTATATTGTGCAATGCTGAGGCTTGAGGTACAATTGATCCTGTCACTGAGGTAGTAAGCATAGTACCCAATAATTAGTTTTTCACCTCTTGCCCAACTAACTCCCTCCCTCCCACCTCTAGTTGTCTTCTATGTCTATTTTTGCCATCTTTATGTCCATGAGTACCTAATGTTTAGCTCCTACTTATAAGTAAAAACAAGCAGTGTTTGATTTTCTGTTTCCAAGCCTTATTTTGCTTATTACAACAGCCTCCAGGTGCCTCCATGTTGTTACATAGGACATAATTTTGTTCTTTGTTTTGGCTGCCTAGGATTCCGTAGTGTATATGTACTATATTTTCTTTATCCAATCCACCATTGATGGGAAACTCCTTTTATTTCTATTGTGTCTACAGATTCTTCAGGGTTCATTATTAAATAATGAAAATATCTAAAATAGGTGTTTTATCAACTTCTTTCAAAATTTATGCCTTAATTACATTTTTGCCTCATTTTACTAAATTGGGCCTCCAATATCATTATCATTGGATAGAAGTGATATAGATGGACTTCTTTATGTCATGTACGATTTAAAGGGGACACTTCTATTATTTTCCCATTCAGAATAAATTGCTTTGATGTATTAATGTCACAAATGACATTTACGGATATTTTACACACTATACCTTCTTGAAAAGTGAGAATAAACGGATCTGGTGATTATATATTTTCTTTTAAATCATAGTTGACTTAATTTGATTCTTTTTTTATTTTACAAATTTTGCAACTTGATACCTGAAAGTAGAGATCAGCCTCTAAAACTTTGCCTAGTTTTGCTAGTAGGTTAAATTGATCCCATTGACTGAGTTGGGAGGAGTCCTCTCTTTTTCTCAGAAATACAATTTGCAATTGGGATGAGCTTTTCTTTAAGTCAGGTAGATTTCTCATATGAAACTATCTGAGTCTGGTGTTTTCTTTATGTGCAGTTATATAACCTTTGCTTAAATTTATTAAACTTATAGGACTGTTCAAACTTTTAATATAAAATGCATTTTCCCATTTAAATTTAGGCTTAAAAATTCTTGGCATGTAGACACCGATAATATTCTCTTTTTACCTTTTCCATTTCTCCTCTATCTACAGAAATCTTTCTCTCTTCCCCTTTTAATGCATGTGCTGTGCAGTCTCTTTCTCCTGTCATTCTTAAAAAGAAGTTTGTTTTTTTTATAGACATTTATGAGGTTTTCTTATGTTAAAATTTTCCCTAGGAGAATACATAAGTATGCATTTGGCATGAATTTATATTTTCACCTAGCTTTAACTTATTAGATTTTCCCAGATTTTATGTGAAATGTATAAAAATAAAGCTTGGCATTTAATTTTTAGAAACTATAGATAACAGTTTAAAATATGATCAGTATTTATTTTAAAGGAATTACAAAGAATGCAGACGGACTATGCAATAACTCTTGAAGTTAAGGCTAAGACAAATGGAAAGAGAGATAATATCAGCTAAATTGAAAGGAGAGATATACTTCAGTGGTTTTCTGGTCCACTTATAACTGAAAACATGTCTTGAAAGATAATTATGTAGACCTATCTTATTTTCAGTCCCAAAGGGTATTGGATTTAGTGGTGCATATTACATTATTATAAAATCAGAGTGACAGTCCAGTATTACTTACAGTAAATAATATTTGATGATGAAAATACATTTTTGATCAAAAAAGAATGGGAATAATGAATGACACAATTATATCTACTTTCATTTCTTGGCTGCACTTTCATTTTAAAACTGTCAAAAATATTTAGATTCTGTACCTGTTGGGAAAAAATATTGCAGTATACCCAAGGGAAGAACAATACATTATCACAATGTATTTTAGGCTGGCAAAGTAGTAATGACTAAAATAACAGAGAAAATAATATATATTTTTAATTTCTGATGTATCAGCTGGTATAATATAAAGTGAAATTGAAAAAATTAGAACTTTGCATTGCAACATTGCTTTTTATTTTAAAGAATCCTCAGTTCTTTAAATATCCACTCTCTATCCTATATGAATTATATTCTTCATATACATGTGAAAATATATAACACATTTAGTGTCTTTAGTGAATAAATATTTAACCTGTTCCTAGAAAGGTGAATTTTTCATTCTTGATTTATACTTCTTCTTACTCTCAACATTACCATTTCCTGTTCCTACATCAAGTACAGAAGAAAAGAAGACCACACTGACCCACAATTTGAATTAATTTTGAGATGAACAATAGCATGATGTTTTTATCCAATTGGTGACATTAAGGCCAATGTTAAACTTACTAAAGTTAGTAAAGTTTAAGTTTATTCAATCTTGACATTAAAAGTCTAGTTTAAAGCATTTTATACAATCAAATTCTAAAGTACTGAAAGTGCAAATTGATGGTTAATCACAAGGTTATGATTTAATGTATTAATTAGGATGTTGAAGAGAAGTAAATGAGTTTTTTCCTCACCATTTTCTATTGATACTGTTTGGATTAATGCCTAGTAGAAAACTTCAGTAAATATAATTCTAATTAATTTGCTTTATTTGCAATGTTGATTTTTAAATGATTCTAAACTTTTCAATATGAAAATTAAATCACACAAATCAGTGAATAAAATGAAAAATACATATAGGACAATTAATAATAAAATAATTTTGACTATCTTCTGATATTAAAGTTAAAATAGATATGAATATGTGGCTATAACAAAAATTAAGTTTTTTAAACTTATAGATATGGAATGGTAAAATAATAAACATAATTTATAATTAAATTGAAACAGTCTGCTGAGCAATTTATGTTACTATACCAGGGTCACATATAAATAGAAAATTTCCAGTTTACTATGACATCTACTATGTCTCCTATCAATTTACTTTTATAATAACCATGATGACATATTATAAAGGAAAATCCAACCTGTGAAGTCACAAATCAATGCACGTGAAAATAAAGTGAATGCCTTGGGAAAATTTTTACTAACAATTATTTCAATAATTGGAATTCAAATGCAAGTTCCATGCTTCCATTTATAATTAGACAAGAGGCTTGAGGGTGGGTAGAGATGAACTTTGATTTATTACAATTATTTCAGTCTTACTTCAGATTGCAAGGAATATAATAACAGGACATAAGGAAATTTTACCTTAAGTATATAAGAACTATCTTGTAAACAGCTAGAGAAAATTTTCAATCTCAAACTAATGGGACCAATTCTAAATCACTATCAAGATTAGTCCTACTAATTTAGCAGTCATTTAATAAAGCATAAAATGTAAAATAATTTTGTATGAGTTATATCCTGGCACTCATAGTAGCATAAGTGAAGTGGTTGCATGAAAAGGCAGAGATCAAAATAAAAGATGATTTCAAAATTATTATATTAGTAAGAAAAAGTTTCTCAGGCTGAATTTATTATTTAATCTTGTCACAGGATCAAAAGGTCAGTCCATCCTACAGAACACCATAATAGGCATGCTTACTAGGCATAACAAATTAATTTGAATTGAAGGACTATATTTGAGAGGTCAATGCTCCCAAAAATATGTTGAAAATGAAGAGAACTAAGGATATCTCATTGATACTGCCTGTTGAAAATGACTAGGCTTAAACAGAGACATTCACATTTATAATTGTGGATAGCAGACCCTAGATTGGCCCCAGGTTTATGCCCTGCGTCAGCCTGAGTTTGGGAAGGGCCTATTCCTTGCTTCTAACCAATAGAATATGGCAGTATTGGTGTGATGTCACTGTTGTGTTATGCTGTGTAAAGGTTCTCTCTTACTAGAATGAATGAGAGCAATGATTCCTTTGCTGGCTTTGAAAAACTAGCTGCCATATTTTGAATAGACCAATTTGAGAGGGACATGTTCCAAAGAAAGGTGGAAAGCCTTTAAGAGCTGTGTGTGGCCCCTTGCCAATAGACAGAAAAGAAACAGGAGGTAATAGCTATATATACAAGGAGACAAAGCCTGCCAACAACCTGAGCAAACTTGGAAGCAAATCTTTCCCCAAACAAATCTCTGATGTGATAACAGCCCTGGTTGATACCTTGATTGCAGCCTTGCAAGACATTGAAGCACAAACCCAGCGAAGCTATGCCCAGACTCCTGAGATGCAGAAATTATAAAATAATAAATACATATTGTTTAAAAATACTTTGTGGTAATTTGTCACACACTAAATGATAACTCTTACAGTGACAAAACCTATATAAAATAAAATACTATAAATGAAATGGAAATTTTCCCTTATAACTCAATAATAAGATCCAGATGAAAATTGTTTTCTATAATAAGTAAAACATTTAAAATATATTTAGTAGATGTTTTGCAAATATAAGAGGAGATGCTGCTTCTTATGAAAGAGAAAAAGAAAATATTAAAGGTAGAACAGTTTCCGAAACAAAAAAATGAAAAAGCCTGCTTAAAATCTTTGAAGTGCAAGCAAAATAAAATTAAATACAAAGTTTTAAAAATACATTAAGCACAACTTAATGAAAACAATTAGGACACTATAGAAATACAATCGGTTTCTAAGAATAAAAGCATGAATTTCTCAAAATAAGCTCTGGGTTTTAATGTGACCTTTTCAGAGAAGCCTCTAATTACCAGTTACCATTCCCTTTAAAATTTTATTTTCTCACATTCTTTTTTCTTTCTACTCTGTTTTATTTTGACAATAGCAACTGTCACCTTCAAATTTATTACATATTTTACTTATTTATTATGTTTATTAACTGTCTACTCCTACTAGAATCAAAAACCATGGTTGCAGAGTTTAGACTTTCTGTTTATTGATGTATCTCAAATATCTTAAACAGAGCATTACACATCCTAATTTCCCCAAAAATATTTGTTCAATGAATGACACTAATTAATTAGAGAAGAGAATGATAAACCAGATGGGATTAAAAAAACAGAAAAGAAAAAAATGCATCATTGAAAATATCCATGTTTTCAAGAGTTCTTAGTCTACAGACGATAAAAACTCATTAATTTTCTGTAAGCACTTATTATGTAGTTAATTTTAATACTCTTTAAAGTAAAAAGTAAGATAATTTATATGAAGGTGATAAAACGGTAAAGCTATTTTTCCTATTATTTTCAAGTTTTTAATTAGGCTTTGTTAAGCTTCCATTTTATTAATAGTCAAATTTTTATTCATTAACCTAATAACTTTTGTTTCTTATATAATAAATTATAAATACAAATTACATATTATTATTATTACTACTAGTGATATCTATCAAATATTTTGGTCTGTGCAAAATTGTTGATGCAGCATTACTAGCTTACTAATTTATATATTATTTGTTTTCTTTGTCTAATACTTATCAAGTCAGATATTTTCTTATTTCTCTTCACAATGCAAATTATGTTAATTTAATCTAATAATTTTGGACTTTGCATTTATTTGGTGATTTTGAACATTTCTCTACAGAAGAATTTTCTTCATGTTTATTTTTATTTCAGCACATTTCATTTTGAGCTGTAAACATTTGAGATATACAGCTCAACAGCTGCTCCTCACTTCGTTTAACATTTTGTTTCATGGCTCTTGTTTCACATCTTACTGGTTTTTAAATTATTTTGCTATTCCTTGGGAACATCTGGTATTCTTTCTTTTCACTTCTTTAAATGTATTCATTTGTCTGAGCAACAGCTTCTGTAGGTTTGGAATACAATCAACTCTAAAGTTGACTTTAATTTTGAAAACAGTATTTTGGAAACTACACTTATTTATAATTAAATGTGCTTTAGAAAGTTACTTCACATTCTGGGAAAGAAAAAAAACAGGATTGCAGGAGGTATTACTATTATTATTATGCAGTGATATGTATTAAAGATAAATAGTGATGACATTCTATTTCTTTTAAATTTCTCAAATAGAAAATGTATTAGTAATAGCTTTTAAATATAGTTGTTCAAAGCACAGAAGAGATTTTGAATGTTCCCAACACAAAGAAATACTTAGTGTTTGCGATGACAAATATCCCAATTATCCTGATTTAATCATTGCATATTGTATACATTTATCAAAACATCATGTGCCCCATAAATATGCAACAATTATGTATCAGCAAAATATTTAAAAATTCCAAATGTATACTTGGGTTTTTCTATTTTGTTGTATTGATTATACATAGAATTTCAGTAATATTTTTAATGTTAAAATAGTATAAGTTATTTGAAATACTACTTAACTTTAACCTGTTTAAGTAGCTATAGAAAGCTTTACTCTTAATTCTACTTGTATTCATCAGTGGAAATAATAACCTTAGGATTATATTCTTTAATAATCAAGAGATATTTTGAACATATAATATACTCAACACTAAAGTACTAGATTTACATAGAATAGAAAATAAATAAGACTTATTCCTACTATTAGTGATGTTAACATCTATCTGAAGAAGGAATTAATATGGATTTTAAATTATTTGTAAATTCAAAATCACTGAGAGAATAAAGACACAAATTGTCCAGTAAATGTTTGAAGAGGTCATAGAGAATGAGGGACTCTACTGGAGTGAAGACTAAGTCACATTAATATATGTAGCAAAAAGACTTAAGGCAGGGAAGATGTGTTTATCTTGTACCTATTGATCTAAATTGTTGATTAAATATTTCCATGAAAGTGTTCATCTTAGGGTTGTGACCTGGCTAGTGAGTATGTTGTAGTGACAGATATGCATAAACATGTATTACTGCAATATAGGGAGAGAGAGTTTCATCTCATATTGTACACCTTAAAAAATTAATTTGATTTTGTAAATTTAACTATTTATTACTCCTTTTCACTTTATTTGATTCCTCCATTTTTAAAAATAAAATGGTGATACAATAAGAAAATTGTGGTTTTGATAAAATTTTATAATAAATGCTATTAAAATAAATTAAAATATACTAATTTAATTACAATCAAAATACATGTATTATTAAAGTAAACTAATAATTTATGGCTTTAGAATATCAAGATTTTTTCAAAATTTTATATATTTTATAATTTTTACAAAATTAACACTAATATATGCAATGAGCAATGATGT